>NC_000001.11:211820950-211972465 GCF_000001405.40 Homo sapiens | reverse complement strand
TTCAAAATTTGAAACGTTCCAATGAACATTTCCTTTGAACATCATGTCAGTTTCAGATTTTGGAGCATTTCAGAATTTGGATCATTTCAGATTTTAGGTTTTCAAACTAGTGATATTCAGCCTGCCCAAGGTGTGGATACCAGGGAACTTGAATCAGAGGAACCAGCTTAGCGTTCTTCCTACAATAGTTTTTTTTTAATCATTTAATTTTTGTTATTAAATATTGAATAGGCATAATATCTACACATGTATTATGTAGGGCATAAAAAAATACAACAAATATCCAAACATCCAGTTAGAAAATAGGACATTACCATTACCTTTTAAAATTCTTATATGCTTGTGAATAATACCCTGGGTCACATAGCAAGACACTGTCTCCTAAAGAGAAAAAAAGTAAAATTCTTATGTGCACCTCCACATTTGTATACTGTTTCCTTTCCACAAAGGTAACAGTACTTTGCATCTTGTGTTTACTGTTCCATTGCCTTTCTTTATAATTTTTTCTTTTTCTTTTTCTTTTCTTTTCTTTTTTTTTTTTTTTTTTTTTGAGACTGAGTTTCACTCTTGTCACCAGGCTGGAGTGCAGTGGCACGATCTTGGCTCACTGCAACCTCCACCTCCCAGGTTCAAGTGATTCTCCTGCCTCACCCTTCCAAGTAGCTGGGATTACAGGCGCTCTCCACCATGCCTGGCTAATTTTTGTATTTTTAGTAGAGACAGGGTTTCACCATGTTTGCCAGACTGGTCTCGAACTCCTGACCTAAGGTGATCCACCCGCCTTGGCCTCCCAAAGTGCTGGCATTATAGGCGTGAGCCCAATGCCCGGCCCTTTCTTTGTAATTTCAACATGCTTTTTTGTAACTCTAAAGAAAGTTCTGTTTTATGTTGCTTGTTTTTGAATTTTATGTAAAAAGGAGTCATATTTTTCTTTGACTTGCTTTGATCATCTAAATTATGTTCCTAAGATTCATCCATTTTGTTGCAGGAAGCTGTAGGTCAATTTCCCTGCCATATAGTCTTGCATCATAAGAATATACATCAATTTATTTTCCCACTCTATAGTGTTGATAAGCATTTTGATTTCTCCAGTTTCTTGCTGTTACCAACATACTGCTCTGAACATTCTTGTACATATCTTTTGATGCACTTACTGCAAAGGTTTCTCTAGGACAGTGGTTCTCAACCAGGGATGGTTTTATCCTCCAGGGGATATTTGGCAGTATCTGGAGCGTTTTTTGGCTATCACCACTTGCCCAGTTGTTACTGGTATTTAGTGCAGAGGGAATGCACAGGAGAGCCCCCCTCAACAAAGAATTTATTCAGTTCAGAATGTCAGTAGTACTCAAGTAGAGAAACACCCTTCTCTAGGGCAGTGGACCTCACTCGGAGCTGTGTATCTTCCCCCTGCTCCAATTTGGAAGTGTGTGTGGATGTTTCTTTTTGTCACAGTGATGGGGAGTTGGGAAGCATTGCTACTGGTAGTAATGGTCAGTAGCTAAATACCTAATCTCCTGCAATGCTAAGAATACTCCTGTTCCTGTTTAGAGATATTGCTGTAAGATATTACCTAAGAGTGGAATTGCACAGGTTATGTGCATCTTTAAATTGACTAGCTAATACCAGTTTTTTCCCAGTGGCTTTACAGATTTAAAGTCCTCCCAGCAGTGTATAAGAGTTCCTATTGCCATACATTTTTCTCTTTGTCTGGTAGGTTCTAAAGCTTATGATTGGCTTTTCCCGGATTACTAATACAATTAGACATTTGTTTCATATGTTTGACCATTTGTGTTTTATTTTCTGTGAAGTTCCTTTTGAAGATTTTTGCTCATTTTCCTACTAGTTTTTATGTCTTTTTCTTACTGGTTTATAAGAGTACTTTATATGTTCTGGATACTAATCTTTTGTTTGCTAAGGTCAATATGAGGTAAAATTGGCCAGATAATATTGTAACTGACTTCTAGAACCCCAAAATCATGTCTGGCTCTTTTGCTAAAAGACTAATGTGAGATAGTATCTAAGAAACAGCATCAGCGTGTTTTAAGTGTGTCATGTCATAGAGGAAAATTTTCACTATGCCTCTGTTTATTGTTAAATTAGCACATTTTTAGTATGTGCCTTTTGTTAAAACTACATAGTGCTAGGATCTCCACTAGGACAGTTGCCAAATAGTTAAAGGTTTTCTTAGTTCTCTGCCCACCCTGGCTTGCCTTACCATTTACCTTTTCTACCTAGCTAATGCTACCCAAGACTTACCCCTGATACCCCTCCATCCTCATTGAAACTTATTTGTGTGTTATAACCTCTTCTTCCTTGGTGTCTTCTCTGTGCTTTCTGAAGTGTCTACTCAGGAATTATTTTTAAAATTAATCTGAGCTACAGGAGTTTGAGGCCAGCCTGAGCAACATAGTGAGACCCTGTCTCTACAAAAAAAAATTAGCTGGGCACAGCCAGGCGCGGTGGCTCTCACCTGTAATCCCAGCACTTTGGGAGGCTGAGGCAGGCCGATCATGAGGTCAGGAGATCGAGACCATCCTGGTTAACACGGTGAAACCCCGTCTCTACTAAAAATACAAAAAATTAGCCAGGCGTGGTGGCAGGCGCCTGTAGTCCCAGCTACTCAGGAGGCTGAGGCAGGAGAATTGCTTGAACCCGGAAGACGGAGCTTGCAGTGAGCCGAGATCGTGCCATTGCACTCCAGCTTGGGCAACAAGAGCGAAACTGTCTCAAAAAAAAAAAAAAATTAGCCAGGCATGGTGGTACGCACCCTTAGTCCCGGCTACTTGGGAAACTCAGGTGGGGGGATAATTTGAGCCCAGGAAGTTGAGGCTGCAGTGAGACATGATTGTACCACTGCACTCCGGCCTGGGTGATAGAATGATACCCTGTCTCAAAAAAAAAAAAAAAAAAAAAAGAAAAGAAAAAGAAAAAGAAATTTGGGCTAGCAGTGGAAGAGGGTAACTTTGAGGCAATGTCCATTTTTTTTTAAAAACAGTGACTGTCTAGAAACATATTCCTCCTGCCCTTATCTTTCTTTTTCTTTCTGCCCCCGACTTTACAAGGTTCCAGTGATGGGAATTTCAGATTAGGAAGGTAGCAAAGTAATAGGGGATTTTGGGGGATGGTAATGTCCTTGAAGCATCCCTTATGCGATTATCTTCTTTTTTCTTTGTTTTTTTTTTTGAGACAGTCTCGTTCTATCGCCCAGGCTGGAGTGCAGTGGTGCAATCTCGGCTCACAGCAGACTCCGCCTCCCGGGTTCACGCCATTCTCCTGCCTCAGCCTCCCGAGTAGCTGGGACTACAGGCACCCGCCACAACGCCCAGCTAATTTTTTTGTATTTTTAATAGAGACGGGGTTTCACCATGTTAGCCAGGGTGGTCTTGATCTCCTGACCTTGTGATCCACCCGCCTCGACCTCCCGAAGTGCTGGGATTACAGGCGTGAGCCACCGCACCTGGCCGTGATTATCTTCTTGATGATGTTCTTGACAATTCACATATTATGGGGTCTTTGTGAATGTAGGCAGTAAGGAACCTTTGAATAGTGGTTGTACATACAGTTTTTCAGAGCTGGTGTTTAATAACAATATTTTTCATTCTAATATTACATTATTCTTTTTATCATTTAGGTCTTTATCCGTCAGTGTTTTTAGAGAACTACTGCACTTGACCACAAACTGATAAATACTTGGTACTGCCCCATCTCACTGTTCTGTTTACTTTGTCTTAAATATCTCTTTTTTTTTTTTTTCCCAGGCAGCTAGTACACCACTGAATCCTTTAAGCTTTCAGTGTGAATTTGTAAAACTCAGGATTGACCTTTTACAAGCCTTCTCTCAACTTATCTGTACTTGTAATAGCCTGAAGACAAGCCCACCACCTGCAATTGCCACAACAATTGCCATGACCTTAGGAAATGACCTCCAGAGGTGTGGTCGCATCTCCAATCAGGCATGTCTTAACTTTCAGTGCATTTTTTATTTACACTTTAGAGGTTTTCGAAGTTATAAGATGAAAAGTTGTAAAATATAAAATCAGTGGTTTGACTCAGACATTATCATAAATGTTTATTCACTCAACTGTCTGGCTAAAAAATAGGCTGATGTGTTATTAGAAAGATAAAGTGATTCATGTTATCTCAATGGGTGCTACATATTTATATAAAGAGAAAGGACAGATTTTTTTAAAAACTTGAGAATGTTTATAACTAAATTATTTTAGTGGAACTTGAAGACGCTAAAATACAAATGTTTTTGTTTCTATATGTCATATATAATAATCTTGTGAACATGTATAGTTTCATTTGCCATTTTTGTTTTTATTTAACAAAGTTTATGAAAATGAATGGAATGACAGTGAAAAGATGGCAGTATTTTTTTTGAATTGTTATTGTTTGAAGGTGCTTTTTTTTGTTTTGGTTTTTGTGTTGTTTATACAATAATGATAGCATGTTTGTTTGTCATAATTGATTTTTTTTTATAGATGAAACAGTCCATGGAAGAATTTCGAAGCCTTGCTTCTCGATATGGAGATCTTTACCAGGCATCTTTTGATGCTGACTCAGCAACTTTGAGGAATGTTGAACTGTATCCCAAGCTTGCCCTAGTACTTCTTGTTCTTTTTGGAAGTATTCTTTTAAATACGGACTACCTCAGATATGCTTACCTACAAAATACATGTTAAATAACCCTATAAATTTATTATATAGTTTCCCCTTTAAAATATATAAGCAGAATAATCTTACTTTTTAACTTTACCCAGGATTTTAACAAAAAATGGTGACTCGAAGGTGTCTTTTTTATATCCAGAAAGAGCATCCAAAGCAACATCCAAAGCCAGTGTTGCTTACCTGTGCTCACTTGAGCTACAACAGACAACACAACACATTTTCCCACCAAAGAACATGTATTTCACCTCACCTTTCTTTGTGGCCAACAGTCCTAGTTTTTATCACCTTTATTAATGATCTCTTCAGTAGCATTAGTTGTCACTTTTTTTTTTTTTTTTTTTTTGAGATGGAGTCTCACTCTGTTGCCCAGGCTGGAGTGCAGTGGCATGATCTTGGCTCACTGCAACCTCTGCCTCCTGGGTTCAAGCGATTCTCCTGCCCCAGCCTCCCTAGTAGCTGGGATTACAGGTGTGTGCCACCACAACCTGGCTAATTTTTATATTTTTAGTAGAGACGGGGTTTCACCATGTTGGCCAGGCTGGTCTCAAACTCCTGGCCTCAAGTGATCTACCTAAAAGTGCTGGGATTATACACGTGAGCCACCGTGCCCAGCCTGGTCGTCACTTTTAAACCCTTCCTAAGTTCTCCATATTTTCTTATTAGCAACTTCAAATCACTTTTGAAAGGAAGGAATAGAAATTCTTTTTTTAAGTTGTAGGACTTTCCAATCAGTAGTTCTTGGCATTTAGTTTACTGATTGAAACCCAGTGAATGCTATGGGCCCTCTGCCCTACAAAATGCATATATACAGAGACACCCAAAATGTGCATGTAAGTTCAGGGAGTTGCCAGACCTCTTGAGCACTAGATTAGGAACCTCTGGGATAAAGGCTCCTTAGACCACTGTGTTTTGTTTTTGTTTCTATTTTTTTTTTAACTTTTATCAGTGAAAGCTTTATTTGCTTGTTTGTCTCAAACTCTTATGAAAAACCCCTATATCTAAGACAGATAAAAACAGACTTGCTGTAATTGAATCACGGGGCCTATCACTTGATTTCCCCTTCCCACAGTAGTAGCCTCCGAAGTACCCTTCTTGGAACAGAGTCTGAGGATCACTATTATAGACAATGTATATCCCTTAAAAAGAAAAGGTAGAGCCCCAGACCATTCGAGTTGATAACATTATGATTACCTTCACTAGGCAATCATTAAATCTTGACCAATTTAGTATTCAAGTAATAGAAACCTATAGCGGGTTTCTTCTCTATTTTCGTATGTAACCTTAACATCAATCCAGACAGCAGCAGAGCTGTTTACTGATATCTCATGCAATAGAAGCCCTGATTTTGGATCCAGAATCAGCAAGGTAATTCTAATATTAATAATAGTTGGCGTTACAGAACACTTTCTATACATTGTCTTACCTAATCATCAGAAGACTATTTTGGAGCTAGTACTATGGAAGTAAAAACAAAGTGGAAGAATTCTTCAGCATTTTTTGTGGGTCACATAACTAGTGACAAAACATAGATTTACCTCCTGCCTCCTGTTTTCAAAAAGTTAACATGGAAAGATAACTGGGAAGACATTCTTTGAATATGAGCAATTTCTTCTTGTATATTATAATTATACTACGAAAAATTGAGTTAATGATACAATTAAACTTGAACTTGAGATTTTTTTCCTTTGGCTTCTTAAACCAAAATATCCCTGGTTTTGCTCTTTTAAATTTTTCCCCTCCCCCAATAACTAATTAATTATTCAAAATAGTTGTTTTCATTAAAGAATGATTCCTTTTTCTTTTCCTATTATAGTATTCTCTTTTGGAATATACATTTTCTTTCTTTTTTAACTTTTAAGTTCAGTGTTACATGTGCAGGTTTGTTATATAGGTAAACTCGTGTCACCGGGGTTTGTTGTACAAATGATTTCATTGACCAGATTTTAGGCTTAGTACCCAATAGTTATTTTTCTGGTCCTCTTTTTCCTCCCACCTTCCACCCTCAGGTAGGCCCCAGTGTGTGGTGTTCCCCTCTATGTTTCCATATGTTATCATTTATCTCCCACTTCTAAGTGAGAACGTGTGGTATTTGGTTTTCTGTTCCTGCGTTAGTTTGCTGAGGATAATAGCTTCCAGCTCCATCCATCTTCCTGCCAAGGACATGATCTTCTTTTTTATGGCTGCGTAGTATTTCATGATGCATATGTACCACATTTTCTTTATCTGGTCTGCCATCGATGGGCATTTAGGTTAATTCCATGTGTTTGCTATTGTGAGTAGTGCTGCAGTGAACATATGTGTGCCTGTGTCTTTATGATAGAATGATTTCTATTCCTTTGGGTATATACACAGTTATGGGATTTCTTGGCCGAATGGTAATTCTGTTTTTAGCTTTTTGAGGAATCACCACAGTGCTTTCCACGATGGTTGAACTAATTTACACTCCCGCCAACAGTGTATAAGGGTTCCCTTTTCTCTGCAACCTCACCAACTTCTGTTATTTTTTGATGATGTAATAATAGCCATTCTGACTGGTGTGAGATGGTATCTCATTGTGGTTTTGATTTGCATTTCTCTAATGATCAGCGATGTTGAGTTTTTTTTTTTTTATGTGCTTGTTGGCCATGTGTATGTCTTTGAAAAGTGTTCATGTCCTTTGCCCACTTTTTAATGGGCTTGTTTTTTTCTTGTAAATAATTCAAGTTCCTTATAGATGCTTGATATTAGAACTTTGTCAGATGCATAGTTAGAAAAATTTTCTCCCATTCTGTAGGTTGTTTGTTTAATCTGTGGATAGTTTCTTTTGTTGTGCAGAAGCTCTTTAGTTTTATTAGATCCCATTTGTCAATTTTTGCTTTTGTTGCAATTGCTTTTGGCATCTTTGTCATGAAATCCTTGCCCATGCCTAGTCCTGAAGGTTGTCTTCCAGGGTTCTATCATTTTGGGTTTTACATTTAAGTCTTTAATCCATCTTGAGTTGATTTTTGTCTGTGGTGTAAGGAAGGGGTCCAGTTTCCATCTTCTGCATATGACATCGGTTATCCCAGCACCATCTATTGAACAGGAAATCCTTTCCCTATTGCTTGTTTTTGTCAGCTTTGTCAAAGATCAGATGGTTGTAGGAGTGTGTGGCCTTGTTTCTGGGCTCTCTATTCTATTCCATTGGTCTGTGTGTCTTTTTGTATACCAGTACCATGCTGTTTAGGTTACTGTAGACTTGTAGTATAGTTTGAAGTTGGGTAGCCTGATGCCTCCAGCTTTGCTCTTTTTGCTTAGGATTGCCTTGGCTGTTTGGGCTCTTTTTGGTTCCATATGAATTTTAAAATAGTTTCTTCTAATTCTGCGAAGAATGTCGTTGGCAGTTTGATAGGAATAGCATTGAATCTATACGTTGCTTTGGGCAGTATGGCCATTTTAACAATATTGATTTCTCCTATTCATGAGCATGGAATGTTTTTCCGTTTGTTTGTGTTATCTTTGATTTCGTTGAGCAGTGTTTTGCTTTCATCTCCCCAGTTAGCTGTATTCCTAGGTATTTTATTCTTTTTGTGACAGTCATGAATGGGAATGCATTCCTGATTTGGCTTTCAGCTCGACTGTTGTTGGTATATAGGAATACTAGTGATTTTTTATATTGATTTTGTATCCTGGATCTTTGCCGAAGTTGTTTATCAGCTTAAGGAGCTTGTGGGCCAAGACTATTGGCTTTCCTAGATATAGTATCATGTCTGCACACAGGGATAGTTGGACTTCCTCTCTTCTTATTTGGATGCCCTTTATTTCATTCTCTCACCTGATTGCTCTGGCCAGGACTTCCAATACTATGTTGAATAGGAGTGGTGAGAGAGAGCATCCTTTTGTTATGCCGGTTTTCAGGGGGAATGCTTCCAGCTTTTGCCCATTTGGTATGATGTTGGCTGTGGTTTTGACATAGGTGACTCTTATTATTTTGAGGTATGTTTCTTCAATTCCTAGTTTATTCAGAGTTTTTTTTTTAATATAATGGGATATGGAATTTTATCAAAAAGCCTTTTCTGCATTGATTGAGATGATCATGTGGTTTTTGGCTTTAGTTCCATTTATGTGATGAATCACATTTATTGATTTGGATGTGTTGAACCAACCTTGCATCCCAGAGATAAAGCCTACTTGATGGTGGTGGATAAGCTTTTTGATTTGTTGCTGGGTTCAGTTTGCCAGTATTTTTTGAGGATTTTTGCATCAATGTTCATCAGGGATATTGGCCTGAGGTTTTTGTTGTTGTGTCTCCACCAGGTTTTGGTATCAGGGTGATGCTGGCCTCGTAGATGAGTTAGGGAGGAGTCCCTCCTCCTTAATTTTTTTGGAAAAGCTTCAGTAGGACTGGTACCAGCTCTTCTATGTATACCTGGTAGAGTTTGACTGTGAATCCATCTTGTCCTGGGCTTTTTTTTTGGTTGGTAGGCTGTTTATTACTGATTCAATTTCAGAGCTCATTATTTGTCTCATCAGGGATTCAGTTTCTTCCTGGTTCAGTCTTGGGAGAGAGTGTATGTTCAGGAATTTATCCATTCCTTCTAGATTTTCTAGTTTGTGTCCATAGAGGTGTTCATATTTCTGTGGTGTCAGTGATAATATCTTCTTTGTTGTTTCTAATTGTGTTTACTTGGATCTTCTCTCTTTATTAGTCTAGCCAGCCGTCTATCAAATAGATACTAATTTTTTTTCAAAACACCAACTCCTGGATTTGTTGATCTTTTGAATTTTTTTTGTGTGTCAGTCTCCAATTCAGCTCTGATTTTGATTATTTCTTGTCTTCTAGCTTTGGGGTTGATTTGCTCTTCATTCTCTAGTTCTTTTAGTTGTGATGTTACTTTGTAAATTGAGGTCTTTCTAACTTTTTGATGTAGGTGTTTAGTGCTGTACATTTCCTTCTTAACACTAGCTGTGTTCCAGAGATTCTGGTATGTTGTTTCTTTGTTTTCATTAGTTTCAAAGAACTTCTTGATTTTTGCCTTAATTTCATTTCTTGCCAAAAAATCATTCAGGAGCACGTTGTTTAATTTCCATGTAATTGTATGGTTTTGAGCGATTTTCTTGGTCTTGATTTCTAATTTTATTGTGCTGTGGTCCAAGAAAGTGGTTATTATTTTCATTCTTTTTCATTTGCTGAAGATTGTTTTGTGTCCAACTGTGTGGCTGATTTTAGAGTATGTGCCATGAGATGATGATGAGAACAATGTATATTCTGTTGTTTTTGGGTGGAGAGTTCTGTAGATGTCTATCAGGTCCATTTGATCCAGTGCTGAGATTAAGTCCTGAATATCTTTGTAATTTTCTGCCTCAGTGATCTAATACTGTCATGGAGTGTTGAATTCTCTCACCATTATTGTGTGGGAGTCTAAGTCTCTTTGAAGGTCTCTAAGCACTTGCTTTATGAATCTGGGTGCTCCTGTGTTGGGTGCATATGTATTTAGGATAGTTAGGTCTTCTTGTTGAATTGAACCTTTTACCATTATGTAATACCCTTGTCTTTTTTTTTTTTTTTTTTTTTTAATCTTTGTTGGTTTAAAGTCTGTTTTGTCTGATTTAGGATTGCAACTGCTGCTTTTTTCTATTTTTCATTTGCTTGTTAGGTTTTTCTCTATCTCTTTATTTTGAGCCTATGGATGTAATTGCATGTGAGATGAGACTCTTGGCATACCATTGAGTTTTGGTTCTTTATCCACCTTGCCAATCTGTGCCTTGTAATTGGGGCATTTAGCCAATTTACATTAAAGGTTAGTATTGATGTATGGATTTGATCCTGTCATCATGATAGCAGCTGGTTATCATGCAGGCTTGTTTGTGTGGTTGCTTTATAGTGTCTCACTGGTCTGTGTACTTAAGTATGTTTTTGTAGTGACTGGTCTTTCCTTTCTATATTTAGTGCTTCCTTCAGGAGCTCTAATAAGGCAGGTCTGGTGATAACAAATTCCCTCAGCATTTGCTTGTCTGAAAAAGATAGTATTTTTCTGTCACTCATGAAGCTTAGTTTGGCCGGATATGAATTTCTTGGTTGGAATTTCTTTTCTTTAAGAATGTTGAGGCCGGGCAAGGTGGCTCATACCTGTAATCCTAGCACTTTGGGAGGCCGAGGTGGGAGGGTCACTTGAGGTCAAGAGTTTGAGACCAGCCTGGCCAACATGGTAAAACCCCGTCTCTACTAAAAATACAAAATTAGCCGGGCATGGTGGCACGTGCCTGTAATCCCAGTTACTCAGGAGGCTGAGGCAGGAGAATCTCTTGAACCCGGGAGGCAGAGGTTGCAGTGAGCCAAGATCATGCCACTGCACTCCAGCCTGGGCAACAGACCAAGACTCCATCTCAGGAAAAAAAAAAAAAAGAATTGAATATTGGCCCACAGTCTCTTCTGGCTTGTAGGGTTTCTGCTCAAAGGGGTCTGCTGTTAAGTCTGATGGACTTCCCTTTGTAGGTGGCCTGACCTTTCTAGCTGCCTTTTTTTTTCTTTTTTCATTGCGACCTTGGAGAATCATGATTATATGTCTCGAGGATGACCTTGTGAAGTATCTTACTGGGGTTCTCTGCAGTTCCTGAATTTGAATGTTGGCCTCTTTTTCTAGGTTGGGGAAGTTCTCGTGGATGATACCCTGAAATATGTCTTCCAAGTTGCTTCCATTCTCCCTATCTCTTTCAGGACATCAGTGAGTTGTAGATTCGGTTTCTTTACATAATCCCATATTTCTCGGAGGTTTTGTTCATTCCTTTTCATTCTTTTTTCTCTATTTTTTTTTCTTTTTTCTGAGACAGAGTCTCACTGTTGCCTAGGCTGGAGTGCAGTGGCGCGATCTCAGTTCACTGCCACCTCTGCCTCTCAGGTTCAAGTGATTCTCCTGCCTCAGCCTTCTGAGTAGCTGGAATTACAGGCATGCAGCACCATACTTGGCTAATTTTATTTTATTTTTAGTAAAGACGGGATTTCAACATGTTGGCCAGGCTTGTCTCAAACTCCTGACTTCAAGTGATCGACCCATCTTAGCCTCCCAAAGTGTTTTTTCTCTATTCTTGTCTTACTCTCTTATTCAGAAAGCCAGTCTTCAAGCTCTGTGATTCTTTCCACAGCTTGGTCTGCTTTGCAATTAATTTTAAGGATTGCATTATGAAATTATTGCAGTTTGTTTTTCTACTCTATCAAGTTGGTTACATTCTTTTTTATACTGGTTATTCTTGTCTTTTGGCTCCTGTATAATTTTATTGTGCTTCTTAGCTTCCTTGGATTGGGTTTCAATGTATTCCTCCTTCTTGATGATCTTCATTCCCATCCATACTCTGATTTCTGTTTCTGTAATTCCAGCCATTTCAGCCCAGTTCAGAACGCTTGCTGGAGAGTTAGTGCAGTCATTCGGAAGAAAAAAGGCATTCTGGCTTTTTGAGTTGTCAAAGTTCTTGCACTGGTTCTTTCTCGTCTTTGTGGGCTGATGGTCCTTCGATCTTTGAAGTTGCTGTCCTTTGCATGTTTTTTTTTTTAATCCTATTTGATGACCTTGAGAGTTTGATTGTGGTATAAGGTGGGTTTAATCAACTGGCTTCATTTCCAGAAGATTTCAGGGAGCCAAGGCTCAGCTCATAACTCCTGGACTACCTGCTCTGGGGGACTGATATGAGCCTCAACTTTGTTCTCTGGCTCCTTGAGGCTAGGAACTGACTGCGCTGGGTAGGGGGCCAAGGTGCTCCAGGGCCACTGGTTACTACACTCCAATGGGTGGTGCCAGCCAAGGCGTTTCATTAGGATGTTGGCAGCAGGATCCATCCTCAGTTGCACATACCAGCAGCAGCAACAGCAGCATAACGGGATGCACACTTGTCCACCGCGGCAGGATACTAGCAGGTCTGGGATGCCGGCCTTTGTGTGGGCCTTCACAGCAGCAGCAGAGGCAGCGCAGGTGGCCGGTGGGGTGCAGGGGAACCCTGTTGGTAACTGCACGCCATGGCACTAGTGGTAGTATAAGCATAGGGGCGTGGCGCTGGCAGACACAGAACTGTGTGTGCCCTCTTATGTAGGTGGAGGTAGCCACTTAGGGCAGGGGAAGGTCCATTGTTGTTCACGCCTGGTTTCACTCCCAGGGCAATGTTGACACAGGAGCTCCAAATGCAATGGCGGTAATGCGGGGGTAATGGGGGCAGAATGCACCAGCAGCAGTGGCAGGGCAAGGTGAACGTGCACTTGTGGGGCTGGGGAGGCAAGATCTGCCCATGCACACGCAGGCAAAGCAATGTCGAGGGTGGCCATGGGCCCAGGGAAAGCTGCCAGTACGGGGAGGGAGCAGGTGAGCCGGCCCATGTCCACATGCTGGGCCGCTGTGCTGGAGCTCACTACCAGTTAGGCGCAGTCCACAAGCACAGGAGCTATGATGCAGGCCCCCCAGGACACCCAAGGCTGCACTGCAAGCAGGCACAGCCAGGTTGGGGCCCCAGGAGAGGCCAGATGGACTGGCCCCATCTGATCGTCAAGACTGCTCTGTAGGCTTGAGGTCTGACAGTTCCCTTAGGGATAAAGTCTCCTATGGGAGCAAGTCAGCAAGTTAAGCCTAGAGGGATGGCTGCCCCTGGCCGTATTCCACTACAGATGCTCACACACCAAACCCTTTGGGCTCTGCATTGGCTAGAATACGGCCCCTAACACTTCTCTAAGCAGCCCTCTGTGCCAACTCAAGTGTCCATAGTGGTCGAGGAATCTCCTGCCAGGATTCCAGAGGCCCGTGGCAGTAGCTGGTTGTTTTTTTGCCAGTTCAAGTCACTGTTCCCCCGGTGCGATATCCCCATGCAGGGGTCCCTCCCAGCTTCCTCCCCTTCAGCCCAGCTTCTGTGTCTTCCCTCTGTCCACCCTTAATCTCTTCCCTCTAAAGATCTGTTAGGAGAGGACCAGTCATCCTGGTCCCTTGGTGGTAGCTGTTCCACCTGGCTGTGTCTAGTCAGCCATCTTGCCCATTTACACTATCTATAATTTCAATCTAGTAAGGCCTGAGATTCCAATATCAGTTTCCTCAAAGAGAATATAATCAACAAAGCAGTTTAAATTTCTCTACCCAGATTGGAACAGAGGAAGAAAAAAGGCTGAAAAAATGAAGAGTCAAAGCTGGCCTGTGGGGTAATGTCATTTAGACTAATATGCATGTAACTGGAATCCCAGAAAGAGGGAAAGGGGGAACAGAAAAATATTTAAATGGCTAAAAGTCATTTATATTTAATTAAACATATAAACCCACAGAGCCAAGAAGCTTAATGAACCTCTAGCAGGGAAAACATAAAATTAGAGCAAGGCACACGTAGCAATCAAATTGCTGAAAACCAATGATAAAGAGAAAAATTTTTTAAAGAGAAAGAAGATATTATTTAGAAGGGAAGAAAATATTATTTAGAAGGGAAGAAAGATCAGAATATCTACTGATTTCTCATCAGAAATATTACAAGCCAAAAGACAAGTGGAGCAACATCTTTAAAGTCCTGGAAAAAAAAATGTTAACCTATAATTCCATATTCAGGAAAAATACCATACAATAAATCAAGGTTAAATTAAGGCATTTTCAGAAAAAATCTGATAAATTTTGCCATCAGCAGATCTGTACTACAAGAAATGTTAAAGGAACTTTTTTAGGCTGAAGGAAAATTATTTCAGATATAAACTCAGACCTACAAAACTGAGTAAGAAGGATTACAAGTGGTAAATGTTTTTGTTTTTTTTTTTAATTTTTAAAAAGATATTTGACCGTTTATAGCAAAAATGATGTTTAGGAGTTTTTAACATATAGAAGTAAAATATATGAAATAAGACAACGGGGGGATATAGTAGTAAGAATCTTACATTTAGTAGTATATCATTTGACAGTAACTTCTGATAAACTGAGGGTGAATATTTTAAACTCTAGAGCAGCCACCAAGAAATAAAACAAGCCAGTAGAGCCATAAAGTGGAATACTAAAATATAAAACTCCAAACTTTCTAGAAGACTACATTGGAAAACCTCTTCATGACCTTGAAATTGGTCATGATTTCTTAGGACACAAACAGCAGTTACCATAAGAGAAAAATTTGCTGAATTGGATTTAAACTTTTAAATCTGCTTTTGTTAAGATGTCATTTAAAAAATGAAAAAGGTTACGGACAGCAAGAAAATATTCTTAAAACATATTCTATCAAAAGACTTCTATTCAGACATTGCTTTATTAAGAACGCCATACAACTCGACAATCCGATTTTTCTTTCTTTTTTTGAGACGGATCCTCTCTCTGTCGCCCAGGCTGGAGTACAGTGGTGTGATCTCGGCTCACTGCAACCTCCACCTCCCAGGTTCAAGCGATTCTCCTGCCTCAGCCTCCCGAGTAGCTGGGATTACAGACATGCGTCACCATGCCCAGCAAATTTTTGTATTTTTAGTAGAGTCAGGGTTTCACCATATTGGTCAGGCTGGTCTCAAACTCCCGACCTCAGGTGATCCACCCGCCTCAGCCTGCCAAAGTGCTGGGATTATAGGCATGAGACACCATGCCCGGCTGACAATCCAATTTTATAAAACTGGTAAGAGTTTTGGACACTTCAAAAAAGAAGGTATGTTAATATCCAGTAGGCACATGAAAAGATGCTTGACATCAGTAATCACTAGAGAAATTAAAATCACAATGAGATACTACTCCCACTAGAACAGATAAGATTAAAAAGACCTTCAGTGTCCAATGTTGGTGCAGATGTGGAGGAGCTTGAATTCATACTAGTATGTTGTTGGGAATACACAATGATACAGCCACTTGGAAAACTGTTTGACAATGTCATATAAAGTTAAACATAAATTTATCATATGACCACCAATTCTATTCCTACTGTTCTACCGAAGAGAAATGAAAACATGTTTCCACACAGATGTATACACAAATGTTCATAGCATCTTTATTCATAGTAACAAATCTGGAAAAACCCAAGTGTCTCTCAGTAGGCTAATGGATAAACAAATTGTAGTATATCCACAAATGAAATACTAAGTAATAAAGATGAATGACCTGTTGATCATTCAGCAGGTCATACAGAAACCATGCGTGCCCTCCGAAACATGCTGTGAAAGAAGCCAAAAGAGAAAATCAGTGAAACCAGAAGCTGGTTCTTTGAAAAGATTAATAAAATTGATAAAACTAGTCTGAGCAAGAAAAAAAATAAATCACTAATAGTAGAAATAAAATAGTGGCATCATTACAAATCTTACAGATATTAAAAGCATAATAAGGGAAGAATAACTTTGTGCAAAGAAATTTGCTTAGGTGAACAGGACAAATTTAAATATTCTTCATTAGCATAGACAAAAATTTTTTTAAAAAGTTCAGTCCAACAATATATATAAATATAATACATTAAGACTAAATAGGGTTTATCCCAGGAATACAAGGTTGGGTTAACATTAGAAAATCAATTTAAGTACTTCGCCATATTGCAAAATAAGAAAAACTAAAGTGTCAAGACTTAACTACTGGTTTCAAGACTTAATATAAAACTACAGTAACTAAGACAATGTGATGATGGTTTAAGGGTAGGATTAAGAGTCCAGAAATACTCACGTAGTCACTTGATTTTTGTCAAAGATGCCAAAATAATTGTATGGGAAAAGAATAGTCTTTTCAACAGATTGTGCTAGAACAACTACATATATAAAAGGGAAAAAATAATCTTCCTTACCCCACACCATACACAAAAGAGTATGTATTGTATGGCTCTATTTATATGAACTATCAGGAAACAAATCTTATGTACAGAGATAAAAAGCAAATCTGTGGTTGCCTACCACCAGAAATGGAATTGTTTTGTTAGCAAGTCTTTTATGTAGTTTAGCTGTCCTTAAAGTCCATCATACAAATGAGCTTCAGTTCTTGTCTTAATAGAACTTAAGATATAGTACAGAACAGGAAACAGAACTTTGGAGCCCAGCAAATGTGAACATGAATCCCTTACCAGTCACTCCTAGCTCTGTGAATGTATGTCATCTCAGTGAGCCACGTATGCATAAACTGTAGGTAGATAATGATGCCTGTTTCCCAGAGTAGTTGTGAAGATTAAATGAACTAATATATGTAAAATACCTGGCTGAAATGCCTTGTACATAGTAGGCATTAAAATGATAGTAGGGAATAATCAGAGTAGTCTTATGCCCAGCATATTTAAATTACCTACATTGTATTTTCAAAAGTTTAGTTAGAAATGACTTTGATGGGATGTATCTCAAAATAATAAGAGCTATCGATGACAAACCCATGGCCAGTATCATACTGAATGGGCAAAAACTGGAAGCACTCCCTTTGAAAACTGGCACAAGACAGGGATGCCCTCTCTCACCACTCCTATTCAACATAGTGTTGGAAGTTCTGGCCAGGGCAGTCAGGCAGGAGAAGGAAATAAAGGGTATTCAATGAGGAAAAGAGGAAGTCAGATTGTCCCTGTTTGCAGATGACATGATTGTATATCTAGAAAACCCCATTGTCTCAGCCCAAAATCTCCTTAGGCTGATAAGCAACTTCAGCAAAGTCTCAGGATACAAAATCAATGTACAAAAATCACAAGCATTCTTATACACCAATAACAGACAAACAGAGAGCCAAATCATGAGTGAACTCCCATTCACAATTGCTTCAAAGAGAATAAAATACCTAGGAATCCAACTTACAAGGGACAAGAAGGACCTCTTCAAGGAGAACTACAAACCATTGCTCAATGAAATAAAAGAGGATACAAATGGAAGAACATTCCATGCTCATGGGTAGGAAGAATCAGTATCGTGAAAATGGCCATACTACCCAAGGTAATTTATAGATTCAATGCCATCCCCATCAAGCTACCAATGACTTTCTTCACAGAATTGGAAAAAACTACTTTAAAGTTCATATGGAACCAAAAAAGAGCCCACATCACCAAGTCAATCCTAAACCAAAAGAACAAAGCCGGAGGCATCACACTACCTGACTTCAAACTATACTACAAGGCTACAGTAACCAAAACAGCATGGTACTGGTACCAAAACAGAGATGTAGATCAATGGAACAGAACAGAGCCCTCAGAAATAATGCCGCATATCTACAACCATCTGATCTTTGACAAACCTGACAAAAACAAGCAATGGGGAAAGGATTCCCTATTTAATAAATGGTGCTGGGAAAACTGGTTAGCCATATGTAGAAAGCTGAAACTGGATCCCTTCCTTACACCTTATACAAAAATTAATTCAAGATGGATTAAAGACTTACATGTTTGACCTAAAACCATAAAAACCCTAGAAGAAAACCTAGGCAATACCATTCAGGACATAGGCATGGGCAAGGACTTCATGTCTAAAACACCAAAAGCAATGGCAACAAAAGCCAAAATTCACAAATGGGGTCTAATTAAACTAAAGAGCTTCTGCACAGCAAAACAAACTACCATCAGAGTGAACAGGCAACCTACAGAATGGGAGAAAATTTTCGCAACCTACTCATCTGACAAAGGGCTAATATCCAGAATCTACAATGAACTCCAACAAATTTACAAGAAAAAAACAACCCCATCAAAAAGTGAGCGAAGGACATGAACAGACACTTCTCAAAAGAAGACATTTATGCAGCCAAAAAACACATGAAAAAATGCTCACCATCACTAGCCATCAGAGAAATGCAAGTCAAAACCACAATGAGATACCATCTCACACCAGTTAGAATGGCAATCATTAAAAAGTCAGGAAACAACAGGTGCTGGAGAGGATGTGGAGAAATAGGAACACTTTCACACTGTTGGTGGGACTGTAAACTAGTTCAACCATTGTGGAAGTCAGTGTGGCAATTCCTCAGGGATCTAGAACTAGAAATATCATTTGACCCAGCCATCCCATTACTGGGTATATACCTAAGGATTATAAATCATGCTGCTATAAAGACACATGCACATGTATGTTTATTGCGGCACTATTCACAATAGCAAAGACTTGGAACCAACCCAAATGTCCAACAACGATAGACTGGATTAAGAAAATGTGGCACATATACACCATGGAATACTATGCAGCCATAAAAAATGATGAGTTCATGTCCTTTGTAGGGACATGGATGAAACTGGAAATCATCATTCTCAGCAAACTATCGCAAGGACAAAAAACCAAACACCGCATGTTCTCACTCATAGGTGGGAGTTGAACAATGAGAACACATGGACACAGGAAGGAGAACATCACACTCTAGGGACTGTTGTGGGGTGGGGGGAGGGGGGAGGGATAGCATTAGGAGATATACCTAATGCTAAATGACGAGTTAATGGGTGCAGCACACCAACATGGCACATGTATACATATGTAACAAACCTGCACATTGTGCACATGTACCCTAAAACTTAAAGTATAATGATAATAAAATTAAAAAATAATAAGTTAAAAAAATAAAATAGAAATGCCTTTTTTCACTTAGAAATGTTTTCAGAAATTTGCAGGGGTTCAAAGCAGTAGAGGAAAAAGAAAGAAATCTAGGTTAAACTTATCCCAGCACGCTGTGTATACAGACTGTCTTCTGAACGTGCCTATGCGTTTCATCTCCATGCTTTAGATTCATGCCATTTCTCTAGCTATGAATGTCCTGTACTTTCCATCTCTCCAAAGTTTACCCATCTTACTTACCTACTGATATGTTCAAGACTCTCTTCTTCTGTGACATTCCTCCATGTTCTGACCTGTTATTTATATATCTAACCTGTTATTACATATCTTTATGGATGGTTTGGAGCTTATCTGCTGGCTTTATTGATAGTCCCCTTTTCAGATGTGTTTATGTCTCTTTCACCTGTGGCAGTAACACTGTCATATTTCCTGGCAACCAAAGAGATTAAGAATTACATAACTTGAAGTCAGACCTGGGTTTGAATTCTGGCTTGCCATTTACTAGCTGTATGACTGTAGGCAAACTACTTACCCTCTCCTAGCCTCAATTTTCTCACCTGTAAATGGAAATAACTTCATTATTTTAAAAATTAAATGAAAATATGTTGAAAGTACCTGATACATGTAGGCATTAAATAGCCATGCTATTTTGATGGATTAATGAATATTGACCTTTACTTCAGTTTCCAGGAATATGGATCTACTGGAACAGCCCATGCTGATAGTGAATATGAAAGAAGAATGATGTCTGTATATAATCATGTCTTGGAGGAGGTAGAATCACTCAATCGGAAATATACCCCTGTTTCTTATATGGCAAGTGGCATTTGTTTTATTGAGCTTTTATTGTATGGATGTGGGTTTTTCATACATTTATGGCACTTACTGTGTGAGTTCAACAAATTAACCTTTCTGTGCCTGTTTCCTTATCCATAAAACAGGGTTAATACCTACCTCACAGCATTGTAGTGGGGAGTAAATGAGATAATCCATGAAAGTACTTAGCACATCTCTAGCTGCTACGTAGTTATATTAATATATAAAAATCTGCTCTACCAGAATGCAAATAAAATTTTTTCTTTTTTTAACAATTTAACTGAAGTTGCAATAATTCTCAACGCAGGCTACACATTAGAATCACTTTGAGGGCTTTTTAAAGAATACATTAATATACAGGCCTCACCCCTGACCAGCTAACTCTGAGTTTCTGGAATTGTGGCCCAGGCATTAGTAGTTTTACACACACTCAGGTGATTCTGTCATGCTGCCATGGTTGGGAGAACCACTGGACAATTGAAACAGAAAGAACAGGGCTTGTTGGCTGACTGGCAATGAGTCATTTCCTACCAGGTGATGACATTAATGCCTTTCAGTACACTCTTCAGCCTTTACCCTGCTGAATCTCTGCTGCCTTTGGCACTTCCTAAGAAGTTCTCAGAGCACTCACCCTTTTTTTTATCTTCTCCCCTGATTTCCCAGTCACAGGACAGGCTAACATACTCTCACCCAAATTTTCTCCTCCCTGTCTGACCATTCCCCAGTATCTCTGCTCAGGTTTTATAACAAAATGCCGTAGGCTTGGTACCTTAAACAACAGACATTTATTTCTCACAGTTTTGGAGGCAGGAAAGTCCAGTATCAAGCTGCCAGCAGATTCGGTTCCTGGTGAGGACTTTCTTCCTGGCCCTGGTGACAGCCACCTTCTTATTACATCTTCACATGGTAGGGAGAGATCGAGAGCTCTGGTCACTCTTCCTCTTCTTTAAGAACACTCATCCTGGCCGGGTGCGGTGGCTCACGCCTGTAATCTCAGCACTTTGGGAGGGTGAGGTGGGCAGATCACGAGGCCAGGAGTTTGAGACCAGCCTGACTAACATGGTGAAACCCTGTGTCTACTGAAAATGCAAAAATTAGCTGGGCATGGTGGCGCATGCCTGTAATCCCAGCTACTCAGGCGGCTGAGGCAGGAGAATCGCTTGAACCGGGTGGCGGAGGTTGCAGTGAGCTGAGATAGCGCCACTGCACTCCAGCCCGGGCAACAGAGCGAGGACTCTGTCTCAAAAAAAAACCAACCAAACAAACAAACAAAAAAAACACTCATCCCATCATGGGGGCCCACCTCCAAATGCCATTACCTTGGGGGTTGCAGCTTCCACATACGAATTTGGGGGAACACAAACATTCAGTTCCCAATTCCCAGCCTTTGAACTTTACCCCTTGGAGAGTTTCTCTTCTGCTTCTGCTCTTCTCATTCTGTACTTTCATGCTTTATCAAGTGTTTTAGAATAAATAGGATGTCATTAAAGAGTTAGGTTAGATCTAAAGATGGGCAATTCCTTTGACATATTGCTTTCCATGTAAAATTGTCAATAGTATTTACTGAATTGAATTGACAGCTGTTTGACAGTGACATTGTTTGCTAAGGGAGAGTGTAAAGACAGTCTTTGAAAGAAATACACACATCTGTGTGAGACAGTGGTTATTTTCATATTCTTCTAAGCTCCATCCTAAAAAATGAAATAGATGCTAAACAAACTTCATTTTGATGGAATTGAATATAACGGAATGGGAATTTTCTGCCCAGCAGAAGACACAGTACAGAGAAAAGGGCCCTAGGCTCATTCAGAACTAGGTTCAAATTCTGGCATTGCTGCTCAGCAGCTGTGTGACTTTAGTCACATTGCTTAACATCCTTTTATATGAAGTAGAAAACATACCTGCCTCATAGGATTACTGTGAGGTTTAAATGAAATAATGCTAATTGCCTAGCACAGTGCTGTCATATAGGGAGTGGTTAATAAAAGTTATTTCCCGGTCGGGCGCAGTGGCTCATGCCTGTAATCCCAGCACTTTGGGAGGCCAAGGTGGGCGGATCACCTGAGGTCAGGAGTTCTAGACTAGCATGCCCAACATGGTGAAACCCCATCTGTACTAAAACTACCAAAATTAGCCAGGCATGATGTCAAGCACCTGTAATCCCAGCTACTTGGGAGGCTGAGGCAGGAGAATTACTTGAACCCGGGAGGCGGAGGTTGCAGTGAGCCGAGATCACGCCATTGCACTCCAGCCTGGGTGACAAGAGTGAAACTTCATCTCAAATAAATAAGTAAGTAAGTAAGTTATTTCCCTTTTTCTGTATTTCCAAGTTGTACTTTATAGATTTGTTACTGTCTGAGCCTCCAGATTCAGTTCAACAAGTATTTATGGGATCCTAGGGATAGAAAAATGACAAAGACACAGGATCTTCCCTCAAGTTGTCCATAGTCTAAGAAAGAAAGATTTTATAAACAAACACAATACAGTATATGTGCATTAATAGAATTCTGCACAAGGTAGAGATGTAGTACAAAAAAGAGAGTAGTTCACATCAAAAGATAGGGAAAATGGATTGGTGGTGCAGTTGAGAGGGAAGATGTATTTGTATATGAGTTTTCCAGACAGATAAGAAGGGGTTGGGAATCTCAGGTAGAGAACATATTCAAAAGCAGAGGCATGAAATAGGGTGATGTCTTCTAGGAACAGTTTGTTATTACTTCAATGTAACATACAGGCTAGGGATTAGAGAGATGAAATCAGAGAGGTAGCCAGTGGCCAGGTGACAAAAGGCTTTGAACACAGTATAAGGGAGCTTGGACTTTGTCCTTAGGCACAGGGGGGCTTCTTAGAAATTGTAAATGGGTAGGAGAGAGAAGTGCTTAATATAGATTGTATATTATCATATAGAAGCAAAACAGGAAATGGCTGGCAGGGTGTGGAATTAGAGGAAAGAAGAATGACTACAAGGCTTTTTCAGTAATCCAAACTAAGGAACAAATTACTAAAATGGCAGTAGGAATGAGAAAAATAGATATATATGAGAGATATTTAGTGAAAATATTTTCAAGGCTGAGTTTTTTAACTAGACATGAGATGATGGAGGCATGCCTTCCAGGTTTCCAGCTTGAATGATCAGTTACACAACTGATTGATCCTTTACTGAGAGAATATAGAGAGGTGATAGAAGATGAAGGTTTTACTTTCAAACATGTTGCTGTCTTTAGGCAGTTGGATAGTAAATACGTTGCAGTTGGAAGAAAGATGGGCTGGGATGCATATAAGGTCATCTGCACATAGAAGTTCTTAAAGTCACGGGAGTGGGGAGAATTGCCTATGAAAAACATGGATTGAGAAGAGAAGACAACAAGGAGAGCATCAGCATTTAAGGAACACACAAAAGAAGAGGCTCTTTAAAAAGAAGATGGCAAAAGGAAGAATCAGAAATAAGGGTATGGACTATTAGGTGGAATTTCATGGAAGGAAGAGCATTATCAGGTGCCACAGAAATGTCAGAAAATACAAAGACTGAAAAGTATCCATTGGATTGACAATTAAGAGAGCATTGTCCAGGCACAGTGCCTTATGCCCATAATCCCAGCACTTTGGGAGGCCAAGGCGGGTGGATCACGAGGTCAGGAGTTTGAGATCAGCCTGACCAACATGGTGAAACCCTGTCTCTACTAAAAATACAAAGTTAGCCAGGCGTGGTGGCGCATGCCTGTAATCCCAGCTACTCAGGAGGCTGATGCTGGAGAATTGCTTGAACCTGGGAGGCCGAGGGTGCAGTGAGCCGAGATTGTGCCATTGCACTCCAGCTTGGGCAACAGAGAGAGACTCCGTCTCAAAAAACAAAACAAAACAAAACAAAAAGCGTTAACGTCTTTCTGCTGGTTTACTGATCATGATACGTAATTTACATCTCCAGACATCTTAATAGTGATCTGCTAATACACCTATGGAGGTCAATACCCAAGGGGCTGTTGACCTCAGAGGCACTCCACACTTTTCCAAGAGGGTATTGCAAAATCTGCACCATTCTTTTAAAAGGCAAAATGGTGACTTTCTGCCTGAAAACAGCCTGAAGTCCCTTGTGGTCCTCTGAGTCCACGCTTCAAAGATGTTTCTCTCCTTAGACACTAGTGTGGCATCAGAGGTCCACCAAAGGTGGATGTCTCTGCAAATACTTTCCAAATTACTTGTTGCAGGAAGCTGATTAATGCTATTTTAACAGTTAAATCTGAAAAAATAGAACCAGTGTCTTTAAATCTGTGTTGTGATTATCTCAGGTAATAGACTTGGCATTTGTACTATGAGTCTGTTGGGCACAAAATGTTCAATTGCCTGAACCCAATAAGGAATGGATTTTTCTGGCTTTTAGCCTTAACACCCAACTTTAAAAAAAAAAATGTTTACAGCATGAGCAACTAGGTGACACTCTGCTTGAAAGCAGGAGCCTAGAGGGACAGACAGCATACCACATGGTGCATGCAGCAGTTTTCAACCTGTGGTGTTGGGTTTCAATCAGGCTGGTGGGAAAAATATTAGAGATAGTTATAGAAATAGACACAAATCTTCTTGGAAGGCTGAGAAGTTTGCCTAACTTCAGTAATAGATCTGGCTGAAGGCGGCCTGATCTCTTTACCTTTAAACAAATTAAAATAGTAATAAAGAAAGGCAGAGTAGTTTACCTGGCTAGCTTGTTTACTCATATAAAGACTAACCTTTGATGTACCGTGAGTGCTTAAGTGCCTTTTACTCAGAAGTCCACAATGTCAATTTCCCTCTAATGGTGTTGACTCAAGCTTTTGTTAATTAATCTTACTGAATAAATGCGAGTCTGACTAGCTGATCAGGGCCTAGTTGCAACTGTTTACAGGACTCAGCAGGAGCCTGTAAGCGGCTGGGACCCTCAGCTGGACTGGCAGAGCAGAATATCTGTGTGTCAGCATACTTTATTTATCCGTTGCTGAATCGGGTCTGCAAGAACAGACCTCCCGCAGCTAGTGCCCCCGTGAAAGGAGCGCTGCCTCACTGTGGTGACTTACGAGGCCACTGAGACGGGAGTAGACTGAGGAAGGGATAGTAGACCAAGCAGGAATGGTTCTGGTTCACCTGAAGTTAAAAGTGTTCTTATGATACTTTCAGTTTTCTTCTATTAGACTGGGTAATCTTTAAAATATCTTTGAACGCTTAAATTCTGATTTTATGACCACTTTCATTAAGGCTCAAAATATTCTCTGTGGTGTTTCTGTACCTCTGCAGTCATGCTGGGATTTTCAAAACTCAGTTAAATGTGTGAGGCAGATTTGAGAAATAAGATATTTTATTAGAGTTTCAGGATTCCCCGACTATATAGTCCTCTTTCATCTGAATTCGACCAAGTTTCCACCACTGCTTACTCTGAGGACCAATGGCCATAGAGACAAGCCACCTAATGAAAGAATGAGCCAGCTCAAAGCCAAAGTCCTGCAAAATGCTCGGGCTTCTTTACCATACTGTTTATCATACTTTGCCATGTGATAGTTACTCTATATTTTAGTATCTAATATAATTGTTTAATAATATACTGATAGTTCTGAGCGCTGTAGAAATGTGGAATTTGCCTATTGCTTGGCCTCGAGGACTGTGGATTTTCTCATTTCTGTCACTTATATTTTATTGAATATACTTCACAATAAAGTAAAAATCTGTAATGAATGATTTAGTATGTATGCACAGTTCCTGGATGTGATGCCTAGTTCTTGATTGGTATGTACCTTTGTAATAATCTATATGGGCATTTGTAGTTTTATACTGAATGTACCACTTGTTGATGAAATTTGAAAATTTATTTTTATTTGATTTAGTTTCTTTTTTCCCCCAGCACACAGCATGCCTCTGCAATGCCATCATTGCTTTGCTGAAAGTTCCCCTTTCTTTCCAGAGATATTTTTTCCAGAAACTACAGTCTACCAGCATCAAGGTAATACAGGAAGAATACTAAGGTTAATATAGGTTTTAAAACCAGGTGTCTTCTGAAGATTATGTAGGACATAGCTACACTTCAGTGTGTTACCTTTGGTTTATTGGTTTTTTTGTTTTGTTTTGTTTTTTGAGACAGAGTCTCGCCCTGTCGCCTGGGCTGGAGTACAGTGGTGTGATTTTGGCTCACCGCAACCTCCGGGTTCAAGCGATTCTCCTGCCTCAGCCTCCCAAGGAACTGGGATTACAGGCATCCACCACCTCACGCAGCTGATTTTTTTATTTTTGGTAAAGATGGGGTTTCACCATGTTGGCTAGGCTGGTCAGGAACTCCTGACCTCAAGTGATCCACCCACCTCTGCCTCCCAAAGTGCTGGGATTACAGGCATGAGCCACTGTGCCTGGCTTACCTTTGGTTTTGATAAAACCTAGTTGTAAGCCATTTCTCTCCTTTATCAAGTGGTTTGGTGAAAGAAATGAATTTGGGAGTTAAACTCTCTCCCTTTTTAATTGTCAGTGCCAAATTCTATGAGACAGGCATTTGGGTAACTGGAGCTCTGTTGTTTGTCTCTCACCTCCAGGAATAAATTAGTGATTTATCACAGTAGCCTGCAAGGATCTTGAGCTGAGTCTATTCAGACCCAACTTATAGACCCAACTTAGAATGAATCAGATCCAGTAAACTGTCACCAGTTCTTCTTCCAAAGTACTTCTGCCTTTCAGTAACATGTTTTGAGGGGCTAACCAGTGAGTAGAATTAGTATTTTGAAATATTTAAGCCACTCACAATTCAAAAGCTATTTTTGATTCAGAAAATGAAATTGTTGGAAAAGGGAGAAAATTGTCACTTCTAAGAGATCTCCTGGATTATCCCTGTTAGTTAATGTCTTCAGTAAACTTTTACATCCATGCAAATGTTTTGATTACAAATAACAGAGCATTCCATTTCAAAATGACTGGAATAATGAGGAAGATTTGACGATCTAGATAAGAAGTCCTAAAGTAGGATGTCTCCAGGGTTGATCAGTAGTTCAACAACATTATCAAAAAGACTCAAATTTCTTCCATCTTTTCATTTAGCAAGACTTGGGCTTTCTTTAATTGATGTGTTTGGGATTTTTAATACATTTTTGAAGAAAAACTAATGAGAGGTGAAAAATGTCATTTGATTCATTTGTAGATATTGACTTTTTTTATAGCACAGTGACTTCGTTGTGTAGATAATCCTGGAACTTTAAGTTCATTTACATTTGAATTTAGTTTATTTAAAATTACGTAAGACCAAAGAGACAGCTCTTAGGTAATGAAAATTTATATAATGCCTTTCCCTACTAGAAGTGGTTCATTGTCAAAGAAATGCCTCACCACAAAAATTGGGAGAATAGTGCCTTTGCTTTTTTCTAATTCTCTATTATCCTCAAATAGAACTGAGGTTTGGGATGAAAACCACAGTGATGTTTAGAAGGAGGCACTTTAAAGGTACATCTGTCTCGTTGTCCTGGCACAGTCAGGTCCTGTGGGGGTGGGGGAGTGCACAATCGAATTTGTTAACCTGTAACCAGTGATTAGCACAGACATGTTTGTCGGAAGGAAGCTTGCTCTTGGTTGTTGGCATTTATTTGAGTGTTGGCATTCCAGCTTGCTCTGTCACCATCGCCCCGGAATCCTGCAGAGCCCATTGCTGTCCAGAATAACCAGCAGCTGGCGCTAAAGGTAGAGGGAGTGGTTCAGCACGGATCTAAACCAGGACTCTTCCGCAAAATTCAGTCTGTCTGTCTGAATGTTTCTTCCACACTGCAGAGTAAATCTGGACAAGACTACAAGGTAATTTAGAAAAGAGGCAGAATTGTGATACAGGTTTTATATGAGCTCATTGATGGAAGTTTTCCAGTGTTTTTCATGGTTAAATAGATTGCAGTTATACCTCCAAAGGGATCAGATGGACATAAATTAAAAGCCCACATTGGGGCTGTAAGGGGTTGATAAACACTTCTTTTTCTCTCCCTGAACCAGTTGATAGAGACAAAGCATCCAGGCAAAGATCAAAATATGAGTTTTATTACTGTTGGAGCTGTGGGAAAACCTAACTCCAATGCCTGGCAGCAAGGCCTTTCTAACCGTAGACCCCTGAATTGGATTTTTTCACCCAGCCTCAGTCAGTACGTATGGGAGCCTGCCCCTATAAAATTTATGGCAGGGCACAGAGGACTCAGGTGCCCAAAGCAGAAGAGAAAGAGCAAGTGCTTACCTTCCCATGTCTGGTTCCTGCCCAGAAAGTCACCCATCAGCAAGACTCACCTCCTCCCTGCTAGGTCAGTAATATTAATCTAACGAAAGGTCTCTCTTACATCAGGAGGTCCCTTCAAACGTCAGAAGTTGGAAAATAAGTGTCTCCCTAACCCACCCAATCCCTCCCCACAAAAAATACACATCTATTTAGTTTTCTCCATTTTAAGTAAATTTTATCATTAAAAAAAGTATATAGCATTTCTATAAAATGATCAGATAAAGTAAAATCTTTTTTTAAGAGTGTAACCCTAGGGATTTGCTGCCTTGGGAACTCAGGATATAGGTAAGTAATAACCTGAATTAGGCTACATTGTTAGCCAGAGCTAAGATGCTGAATCTGTGCCCATGAAATGCCAGTGTTCGAGATAAAGAATGTTCCTTGCTTTAGACATTTATTTCCGATTCCCTGGTGGTTTATCCACAGTAAATGAAGCAAGGGACCAAGTCCACAGTTGTAGCAGCGAAGTTACTCAGATGCCCAGATTGGCTGTGTCCAGGTTTATTGTGGCATAGCATGGAAGGCAGGGTATCAGTGAAGGTATAAAAAGAGAGCATTTTATTATCTTTGGTGGTTTTAGGTTAAAAAGCCAAGGGAAGGTCTGGTTCTAAACTATTATTACTTTCTTAAGCCATTACTACTTTCTTAACTATGGCAAGTTCCTCTCACTTTGGCACTCTGTCCACTCTGACACGGCTGAGCCTTCATTCTCCTCTTTTCCTCTGTTTTGACTTCTGTGCCATACAGCATGGTACCTTATGTAGCCACTCAATAATTTGTGAATGATGAAAAAATTATTTACTATATTTAGAGTATAACTGTTAAAATTGGGTATCTGCTGTCACAGAAGGTTGTAATGAGAATTTACATAATTTATCCCTGTCTGCAACTCTCTCTTCACTTTGAATTTGAAACAGTAGTAACCATGATTCTCTTTGTTACTTGCATATAATTTCTACTGTTAAGAAAATAACATTCAAACCTAGAAGCTATGGTCTTCTGCTTGTTGACCTACCTCTCAAGAGGCATTGATTAAAGTCAGGAAGCTGATATAATAAGCCGAGTAATAACATGATTACTTTGCAGTGTTATTCACAGTGAGTTTGCAGCTTAAGATGCAGCCATCCATTCAGGGTGATCAGGTTCCCTAGGCCTATTTCTGGTCCTTTTAAGGAAGTTCTTTGGTTGGCATATTCTTTAGGGAAATAAAAACTGTACAAAGGCTAAATGTGAAAAAGTACCTGTACTATAAATAATTCTAAGACCTTGAATTGGTTGGTGACGTCAGTTCATTACTATTACAGGTAAATGTCTCTGGAAAAGTGACATGATAACTGCTCCTTGAGACACAAAGCTGCAGGGCACATTTATATAATTAATTACACCACAGAAACACGCACATAAACCTAGAGTAATTTGGTCAAATACACATTAAGATCACCTTTATTTGCATTCTCAGGATAAATCTGTCTCTTGACACGTTTCATCTTGGGTACAGGTAAGAGTACGTCAGCAGGTTTTATTCTGGTCTTTGAAGAACAAAGGCATGAGTGTCTGGCTAAATGAATGAGCCTATAAATCTGTGTTTTATAACATATTGTACTTCCAGTCTGAACAAAACAGTGCTTATTAAATGAGCAATGTACAAATGGTTCAGTTAATTTGTTAAAGGAGTAAGGAATCACTACATTAAGTAATAAAAATCAGACTAACTGTTGGGGGGGAACCTAACTTAAATTTGCTTAGTGTTTTGTTCTTTTTCAGTCTCTTAGGTTTTAAACTCTCTGGAACAGGTGATTTCATCCTATTTCTTCAGAATATCTCTTCACAGTCTAAAGGAAGATAGGGATTTAGAGATGGGGTTGAGTAAGCAAGGAAGAAAGGCCAGCATGTGAAGGGGCTGTCAACGGCTCTGGGAGCTCATTCTACTCAAGTAGAGTGAGGAGCATCACTTAGTAGTTCAGAGTGTAGGCCCTGGAGGTAGTCTGCCTGTGTTCAGATTCCTACTCCGTTCACTAATCATGTGACTTTGGAGACATTACTTAACCTGTCTGCCTTAGACTCCTCATCGGTGAAGCAAGGATGATAGCAGTACCTAATTTTTTATTGTCTGCATGGTCTAAATAAGCTCTTAGAACAGGGCCTAACTCATAGTAAGCACTGAAGAAATGTTAGCCATTGTTGTTAGTTAACAATTGTTTCATTGCAGATACCCATTGACAACATGACCAATGAGATGGAGCAAAGGGTTGAACCTCATAATGATTACTTCAGTACTCAATTTCTGTTGAACTTTGCTATCCTTGGAACACACAACATTACAGTGGAATCTTCTGTGAAAGATGCCAATGGTATAGTATGGAAGACTGGTCCCAGAACTACCATATTTGTAAAATCCCTGGAAGACCCTTATTCCCAGCAAATTCGCTTACAACAGCAGCAAGCCCAGCAGCCATTACAGCAGCAGCAGCAACGCAATGCCTACACACGGTTTTAACCATGGAATGAATGCACTGCAGACTCTCAAGAGATCAATCAAATTGCCAGAAACAGTTTGGTTTTTCATATGGAATAAGTATTAAAGTTACAGTGTAGTTCATTTATTCATTGATTTTTGTAATGTAATATTCTGGAAAAAATTTTGTTTTCTTAAAAATTTTGTCTGACAGCTGGGCGTGGTTGCTCACGCCTGTAATCCCAGCACTTTGGGAGGCTGAGGTGGGCGGCTCACGAGGAGATCAAGACCATCCTGGCTAACACAGTGAAACCCCGTCTCCACTAAAAAATACAAAAAAATTAGCCAAGCATGGTGGCAGGCGCCTGTAGTCCCAGCTACTTGGGAGGCTGAGGCAGGAGAATGGTGTGAACCTGGGAGGCGGAGCTTGCAGTGAGCCGAGACTGTGCTCCAGCCTGGGCGACAGAGCGAGACTCCGTCTCAAAAAAATAAATAAATACATTTTGTCTGAAAAATAACTGGGATCCTGGCCAGAAAGATTGTTCTTTCTTGTTTTATTATTAGTTTTTTCTGTTGCCAAGCTTTTTTTTCTTTCAAGAATAGTCACATGTTGAGATCACTGAATTGGTAAATTTGACCGCTACTCTTCCAAAATACATCATTTGCTGCCTGACTTAGACCTAGGATTCTGAGTTGTTCATTGGGAGGTTCTGACCAGTCACTACAAGGTTTATCCATGGTAGCAGAACCTGAGTCCTTCTGTAGATGGACTTGAAAGTGTTCCGTGCAACATCCAGCCTTCTGGATTATGAAAGCCCACAGTCTAACAGTATTGAAACATCCTGCTGTATTAGTTCAACCACATATTTATCTCTTCCTGTGCTAAAGCAGTCTTTATTATTTTCATATTTAATTGAAACAAAGAGCAGCTAGCAATTTCATAGAAAATTAATTTGTTTTTTCTGATGTGTCTGCAACTGTGTATAATACAGACATTTCACATTGTTTCCAAAAGTGAAGAACACTCATTTAATATCTTCAATGTTTTAAGTTAGAAGGGGTGGATCTTTTCCTTTGGTTGGTGATTGGTTTGGTTTATACTTGATGAGTTATGCTAGACTGATTGTTTAGAGAGAGCAGTCTCTTTATTACACAGGCTCAGTTTGTTGGGATGCTCAGGGAACAGAGTTTTCTGGTTAGCCAGAAAACCCCCTTTTTTCCTATTTTAATTCTGGTTGAAAACCATGATAAAATAGACTTTCTTAGCACAGTATGGTAGATATAACTTAACTGCTTTTTGATTGGGGATCATTTAGGGCTTCAGGATCACGATTTCTAAACATCAGGGATCATATGGTTGCAGATGCCGATGCTATAAGTAATTTGGCCGGATGCAGCTCCTAAGGTAAAGCAGGGTACTTTCCCTGGAATTTCCTTTTTAAATAAATATCTGTTTCTTTGCTTGTGTTTTGCCTTTTTCTCTTCAAAGTCAACATTAATTCAAAGGAGAATGGAGCTTAAGATAAAAAATAAAAAGGGGTTGTTGTTTTTTTTTTCTTTCTTGTCATGCGGCCTCTGGGACTGAGAAGTGATTTGCAACTTGGGTCTCTCCAAGATTGCTTGCCTTCATGAGCACAACCCATTGTACTGCTAACAGCCAGAACATTCTCATAAAATGTGTACAGATCTACAGTGTCCACGGTTGAATGACATCTCTTCAGATGCAGCCCAGTTGTATGAGGTTCACACAACCTACACAGTCATCTCAGCACCTGGGAACACGTGCTTAGGAAAAATTGCCAGAGCAGTGCAGAACCCCTTGTTCTTTTACCAGGTGTGGAAACAGCTGAATCAGAAAGCCTGGGTTTCACTCTTGGTTCTGGTGAATTAGCTGTGTGACCAAGCAAGTCACTTTACCTCTACATCTTAGGGGTTTTTTTTTTTGTCTGTCAAGTGACTGAATTAGACTGGTTTTCTGGATTCCAGCCTAGAGTTGTATTATCAAGTGACTGAAAGACTAAAAACAAACAAAAACATTTCTTAAATTGGAGATCTTTTTTATTTGTAATTAAGTGGCTATTTTCAGGGTTAAAGTTTACAATGTGGATTTCAAGCTTCTGGTGCCATTCAAGGTAGATTTCTCCAAAAAAGAAGCAAATCTTGTAAGCCATCAATTCCCTTTGAGAACTTCCCAAATGTTATGTTCTTAAAAGATAGGTTTTGATAGCTATGTTTATGAACTTTTTAACTTGGTGTATTATGGGCTCCTGGCACAAACTCAGAAAGGAATTTTTTTTTTTTTTTTTTGAGACAGAGTCTCGCTCTGTTGCCCAGGCTGGAGTGCAGTGGTGCAATCTCAGCTCACTGCAACCTCTACCTCCCAGGCTCCGGTGATTCTCCTGCCTCAGTCTCCCGAGTAGCTGGGATTACAGGCATGTGCCACCACGCCTGGTTAGTTTTTATATTTTTTAGTAGAGATGGGTTTCACCATGTTGGCCAGGATGGTCCCAAACTCTGGTGATCGCCCGTCTTGGCCTCCCAAAGTGCTAGGATTACAGGTGTGAGCCACCGTGCCTGGCCAGGAATTATTAAAATAAAAGCAAGTCCAAGAAGTTCAGAGTATAACTGAACTGAACATAACTCTGAAGCAAGAAAGACTTATTTTAGTATGTCCATTAGATCCAGGATTGGAACTCTGATTTTGTTTAGTAAAATATCTACTGAATTTTTGGCATCAACTGTTAAATGGTTATTTGTGGTGGGGGAAGCTGTTTATAACTTCAACACTACACTAATGAATGAAAAGAAAAATGAGATGCAGAAAAGAAAGATGCATACTAATTGTGAAGTGGGCATGTTCCCTAAATTTAGAAATATGAAGGGCACTTGCTGGTTAAAGCTAGGAAGACAGGACTAGTTTTTCTCAGTGCTTCGTCACTTTGCAGTGCAGTAGTGTTTCCTTATCTGCAGTTTTTGCTTTTCACTTTCACTTTGCTTTTCAGTTTCAGTTCCCAGAGGTGAAGATAGACCACATTCACATAATTTTTATTACAGTATATTGTTACAATTGTTCTATTTTATAATCACTTAATCTCTTTACTGTGCCTATTTTATAAATTAAACTTTGGCATAGGTGTGTATGTATAGGAAAAAATGTAGTGTATATAGGGTTTGGTACTATCCTCAGTCATAGGCATCCACTGGGGATCTTGGAACGTATCTCCTACTGATAAGGGGGACTGCTGTGTAGTCCAGTGACTGAGAGCACCAGCCTTTGGGGCCATACTGCCGAGGTTCCAATCTTAACTTTATGACCTTGGACAAGCTACTTAGTCTCTCTATGCCTCAATTTCCTTATTCCTAATAGAGAAACATATTAGTGTTTCATGGGGTAGGTATGAGAATTAAGTGAGTTAGTATAGAATTTACTTAGAACATGCTTGGCATATAGTAAAACAGATATATAAGCATTTGCTTTTATTATTACTACTACTGTCATTATCCTCCTTAGTATTTTTTTTTCCAAAGTGTTAGATCAGTTCTCACTGAGCATTTTATTACCTTGTCTCTGCTATTAAACACATTTAAGCTATCTTTCCTAATGCAATTTGGGTACATTGAGTAATAATGATCTAAACAAAATAGAATTTCTGTCTACTATGCTATAAATCATTTAATTAAAATATGTAAAGGCAGACATACAAGGAAATATATGTAAATACATTCTGCTGATTGCCTTCAGTGATGATAGCAATAGAATGTTGACTATTCAGAAATTAATGTATTCCAGCTTAAACTAAGACCTTCAGACATAACCTTTCTAGCGCAAACCAACCAAGATAGCAGGCAATTTGCAACTGGGGAATATGCCATTTCTCATGTTAAGATACTGTTCAGAGAAGAACAAACCAATTAGACAAGATCCTCAGACTAGGGTCCCAGAGAAGTCAGTTTAAATTCTATTTATAAGACTCATCATTAATCCTTAGATAAGTCACTTGATCTTTCTGTGCCAATACCTGCCAACAGAATATTGAGAATAAGATGACCTGGCACTTGGTATGTAGAGTATAGGCACCACTGACCAACAGAACTTTCTGTAATGATGGAGGCGTTCTAAATTTGCACTAACCGCTACAGCCACTGGCCACATGTAGCTATTGAGTACTTAAAATATGGCTAGTGTGATTGAGGAACTGAATTAATTTACTTTTAATTCAGTTAAATTTAATTATTTTATTTATTTATTTATTTATTTATTTATTTATTTATTTAGAGATGGAGTTTTGCTCTTGTTGCCTGGGGTGGAGTGCAATGGTGCGATCTCAGCTCACTGCAACCTCCGCCTCCCAGGTTCAAGTGATTCTCCTGCCTCAGCCTCCCAAGTATCTGGGATTACAGGCATGTGCCACCACACCCGGCTAATTTTGTATTTTTAGTAAAGGTGGAGTTTCATCATGTTGGTCAGGCTGGTCTTGAACTCCTGACCTCCAGTGATCCACCCCCATCGGCCTCCCAAAGTGCTAGGATTACAGGCATGAGCCACCATGCCCGGCCTCCTTCAGTTAAATGGCTTCATGTGGCTACTGCCTATGGAGTTGGAAAGTGCAGGGAATGAAAAATGAAAAAATGAGAACTGTTACCTTAAGACCTAGATGACCCTTAAGTGGATTTCTAGATAAGGGGGCCTACATTGGAATTCTTTGACTCACTAAAAGTTCCACACGAAAGAGTGTATAGATGACAAGGAGGGTATTTAGGTTCATGCGTTTGCTTTGCTTCTAGTATTAAATACTATGTTGAGGCCGGGCACGGTGGCTCACGCCTGTAATCCCTGCACTTTGGGAGGCCGAGGCGGGCAGATCACAAGGTCAGGAGATCGAGACCATCCTGGCTAACACAGTGAAACCCCGTCTCTACTAAAAATACAAAAAATTAGCCAGGCGTGGTGGCAGGCACCTGTAGTCCCAGCTACTTGGGAGGCTGAGGCAGGAGAATGGTGTGAACCCAGGTGGCGGAGCTTGTAGTGAGCCGAGATTGCGCCACTGCACTCCAGCCTGGGCGACAGAGCGAGACTCCGTCTCAAAAAAAAAAAATACTATGTTGCTCAATCAAACCCTGTTCTTTGCACAATGCCTTGGACTTAGCCTTTACCAGTCACATAGACAATAACAGTATGATGAGATGTAGTGAGAAGTCTAAAGTCTGGTGAGTTGGCTTAATTTGATTTTATTTTCTTCCTTCAACCATAATAATATGATATCCAGATTTTGTCTTTATGGAAGGATCTGTAAACACAGGCTTACCCATCCCACTTACAGGCAAGGCAAATGCTGCTTCTTGAAAAGCGGGGGTCTGGGTCATTATCCTCCTTACCCAAGTTGTCCCCTGGCCTGGCTTTTATCTTCACTATATTGTGGAGACACTTCATTGAGTCTCATACTAGATTTTAACTTTTCCATGGCTTCCGTCGTTTTGCCATGTTTTTCGCGTAGAATGTGTCTGTTTGCTGTGTCGCCACCCACTTTGGGGCCCTGAGCCTTCTCATCAGCACTGTTGCTCCCAGAGACATGTCCCCATTTCCCCCTTTTCCAGAACCGTTTTTTCCTTTGGGCATCATTTTTGAAATTTGCTGTTCTAAAAATATTTTGTTGTTGTTTCCAGATAATTTTTTAAGTAAAATTAATAAAGATGGGGTAATGCCAAATGAATTATAACAATCAGGAAAAAAATGAGCATCTCAAATACCCAGAAAGGATGTTTTGAAGAAAATTACATGGTATGCAGAGAAGAAATACTCTCTAACTCAACTTTCTTTGGTTTTCTTGGTGATTTCATTTGAGGGTTTTGATGAATTTATTTGTGGTGATGAGTTAAAAATGTGTAAAGGATTAGGACAAATAAAAGGGAACTAAATTACACTAAGGAATTATGAGAAGATACCGGTGTCTACCCTCTCCTGTTTCCTAAGACCATGGAAGGTGAAAATAGGCTGGAGTTTCCCTCCATCCCCCACTGGAAGCAGTGGAGCTAATGATGCTTTCTATTTATGTCATCTTGCCCTGATGGCATGAAAGAGTAGTGAGATGAGGAAAGTGATGATGAATTGTTAACACTTGCTCCTGCCTTGCTTTGCCTTCATATCCCACCCACCAGCAAAAGCGGACATCCTGTGATTAGGAGGTTCACAGGAGAAGCAGAAGAGAAGACTACTGTGGAAATGCAAATGGAGGAGAGGGACTCTCCCTGTGAGAGCACAACACGTCGCCAGGCCTGAGCTGGCCGTGGGAGAGTCAAAAGGAAACTGACAGGGAGAACCCCCAAGCAACTTGGAGTCTCACTGGACAGAATAAGGCCTATTTTTAGAAAATGTGGCGAGGGCTTAAAAAAAGTGACAAAACACAAAAGAGTGCCATTTCTGAAATTCATGATAGTGTCCCCTTGTATGTAACACTCGGGAGAGGATCTTAAGTAATTTAAAAACTGGCCATCGTTTGGCATTTTCTTCTTTTGCAGCATTTAGAATGCGTGTGTCCCTTCTCAGCCTCTTCTTGATGTAATTCAAACAATTGAGCACCTACTACTTGTTATCCAGAGAGGGGCAAAAGAGCATTTCGAAAAAAAAAAGGCCCCTAAAGTGTGAAGGAAATATTTAACTTCAAGGAGACAGGAGTTTACACTTAAAAAAAAGTTAAATACTGTCTCCTTACAGAAACTGCTGCTGCCTCTGGCCAGGCTGCTGGATGATTTGAACCCCTCCGTGTCACATTTCAAGGTATTGGAGTATTAGGGAGAAATAAGTATAGTCACAGAATCCCTTCAGCAACATCAGAGCTATCCTACTCAATGGTTACCATGTCCCTTGGGATGCTCAAAAGCATATTAGCCTGGCTAGAATTGTTGTCTCTGAGAGTGAGCACATCTGGAATCTCCTTGAGGGCTGTTGACACATGAGAGGGCCTGAGAATCTGTCCTAGGCACTAATTCCCCCTGCCCCCCACCCACTCCCAAGTGGCTGACCAGGAGTAGCTGATGAAAAGAAAACACTCCTGAGCACTGAAGGTAACTCAGCTGACATCACAAGGCACTGCAGCTCAATCAGCATTTGTCAGAGAAGGAATTCGAACACAGATTTTCCGGATGTATGCTAAAGGCATGGCCAGCAAGGGCATAAACCATTTTGAGAAGGTATTCTTTGATTCATGCACGAGATGTCTGTCAAACACACACAGCATAGCAGGTGCTGGGAATACAGTGGTGGCCAAGCTCCTGGGGTTCACGGCCATGCCACCCCCTCTTTCCTGCAGAGACCATGGGAGGGAGGGTGGTGAGAAACACATTCTGACCGTGACTATTCAGGGTGAGCCTGAGCTTCCTCACGTGGCTGATCATGTTCTCCAGTGAAAGGAGAAAGGAATGGGTTTGGACAGGACTCCCCAGGGCAGAGCCACTGCAGTTCCCTGTGCAGCCCTTCACAAAGGCTCACTCACCCTGTGTCTCCTTTGGTATTTAACCATCCTCACAACCCACTAAGTTTTTCTTATATCCAACCTAAACCACTCATTGCAATCTTTTAATTTTTACTTTTTAAAAATGAGGGGTCTGTCACCCAGGCTGGAGCTTAATGGCGCAATAATAGCTCACTGCGGCCTCAACCTGAGTTCAAGGGATCCTCCCACTTCAGCCTCTCACTGCAATCTTAAGCCTGCTTCAATTCTCTGTGATTGGGGAAGATGGGAAACTCCCACAAAGCTTTGGCCAGAGGGAAATAACTCCTGTCAGAATTCAGTCTCCCCTGACACCAACTATTCCACATAGAAAAACCCATCTGTCTTTCCAGACCCTATAGAAACACCCTGACCCTGATTTGTCTAACCAAGCACGATCCTTCATATTTCTCTGTAACCAGTATTGTGTACACTCAGCTGCCCGACCCTGGGGTTGGCTGCAATGTGGATAAATGGTGGCTAATGTTATCAGGTCCTGTTAATGGGAACGAACAGCTCTCTCCACTGTCCCACACCCTATATCAGCCACCTGGCTATTCTCCGAGTCTCTGTTTCTTCTCATCACATCTCTCTGAGCCTTGGCCTCTTCATCTGTGAAAGGGGGCTCATAGTTACCCTGTTGAAGAGTTGTGAAGATTAAATGTGATAACACTCACAAAGCCTGGTGCCTGGCGGGTGCCCAACAGATATTGGTTGCCTTCCTCCTCAGTGGTGGATTGGCCAGCCTGGCCCAGTGGCCCAGAGAGCAGCGGGGACAGGAACTTCAGCCCTACAAAACAGTGACATTTCAGGTCATCTCTGCCTTAAAGAAGGATGACGTTCCAGGTCTCATTTGAGGACCTAGAAGGGACTAAAAGCTCTTAGACTCAAGAGGAATGTATCCTTTTCTGTTGGGAGGAGGGTATTTCCATCTCTCAGCCTTCCCTGTCAGCACAAGTATTGATCCCTGGGGAAGTGAGAGAGGGGGCAGGGGAGTGCCAGGAAGATATGGGAGAAGTATCACCAGTGCAGTGAGCCGACCCAGACATCCTGTCATTCTTTCTGAGACTTATTTGGTCAACTGCAAAATAAATGGGCTTATATCCAAAGTTAGTTTGCACCATCAAATCTACTGGACATAAGCCCCAAGGTTCAATGGGTGCTTCATACCTAACTGATCAGAACTCTTTCCCTACTAACAAGGTTTTGGAGAGTTTGCCACCCCCCAAAAATGGAGCAAGAAGCAAGGAAGTTTACATTGAGTATAAGGAAGAACTTAGTGAACTCTAGAAACAATTACATACTGAAAGAAGGAAGCATTCAGGCTTCATGGGTGCTTCTGAAGGGCCTTAAGACAGGAAGCCTGTTCAATCACAGAGGTGCATTTGCCAAGAGCCTCTCTGGAGGCAGAGGAATGGACTCTATGACCTCTTGGCCCTATTTTATCAGCAAGATTTCATGGAGGCCACAGCTGCAGACTTCCCAGCAGGAGGGCTTTGCCTGGGAGATGCGTTGTGGCCCAGCTCCCCACCAAACACATGCCTTCGAGACTAAGGGCTCAGGCAGTGCAGCCGCAGATATAAATAACCTTCGTGTGACTCTTTCTGTCCTTAGAGCGGATGCCTCCAGCCATTGCCCAGAATGGGATGGAGGGAACAGGAGAAGGGTGCACAGAGAAGTGGTGGGGGTGGAGTGGGGGTGGAGTTGGGGAGGGCTGGGGTTGACAGCTGAGAAGAGAGTGACGGTGAAGAGGCTGTGTTTTCTCTCACCTCCTAAGTGTGTGTGTCTGCATGTTTCTGTGAGATAGGTGTTCATGCAGGGAGAGGAGCTGTCCTACTTTTGGGGAACGGGGTGCTGTTCTTCACAACGTGCTTTCTTTCTTTTCCCACTACCATCATCCTAGTTCACAACCTCATTATGTCTTCCTGGAATATTGCTTTCACTTCCTAATTTCCTTGCTGCTAGTTTCAGTCTCCTCTGAGTGAACCTTTCTTACCATTGCTTCCCAATTCATTCTTCTTTTTTTTTTTTTTTAAATCTAGACAGAGTCTTACTCTGTTGCCCAGGCTGGAGTGCAGTGGCACGATCACAGCTCACTGCAGCCCTGACCTCCTGGGTTCAAGGGATCCCCCACCTCAGCTTCCTGGGTAGCTGGGATTACAGGCGCGTGCCACCACATCGGGCTAATTTTTTGTATTTTTTTGTAGAGGCGGGGTTTCACCACGTTGCCCAGGCTGGTCTCAAACTTTTGGGCTCAAGCAATCCACCCACCTTGGCCTCCCAAAGTGCTGGGATTACATATGTGAGCCCCCGCGCCAGCTGCAATTCACTCTTCTTGTTAAAAAAAAAAAAACAAAACTGGGTTCCCAATACAGTGCACATTCTTCAATATATCATTGAAGATCCTCCACAATTAGACACAGGCCTAGCAGCCAGACCTCTCTTTTCTTTTTTTTTTTTTGAGACGGAGTCTCGCTCTGTCGCCCAGGCTGGAGTGCAGTGGCGCAGTCTCGGCTCACCGCAAGCTCCGCCTCCCGGGTTCATGCCATTCTCCTGCCTCAGCCTCCCGAGTAGCTGGGACTACAGGCGCCTGCCACCACGCCCGGCTAATTTTTTGTATTTTTAGTAGAGACGGGGTTTCACCGTGTTAGCCAGGATGGTCTCGATCTCCTGACCTCGTGATCTGCCCGCCTCGGCCTCCCAAAGTGCTGGGATTACAGGCGTGAGCCACTGCACCCGGCCCAGACCTCTCTTTTCTACGGCCCTCTGTGTGTATCCCAGCCCGCAGTAAAACTGGCACCCTGGGCATTCCATGAGCTCAGTTTGCACTATCTTACCTTTGTGGCTTTGCTCATATTTTCCCTCTGTCTGAACACTCTTCCCTCCATCCGTGAAAAACCTGTTCGTCCTTCCATGTCCTGATTTCTAGCCAGACACAATACTCAGTATTCCTCCATAGCCCGTATCCCAATCCATCTGTGTGAAGCAGTCTAGCTGCATGGCCCTGGGGTCGGAGGCACTGTAGACAAATGGAGGCTAATGTTACCATGTCCTGCCAGGAGCAGCCAGCTCCCTCCACTGCCCCATGCCTCCCATCAGCTCCCTGGCTATTCTGGCCTCCAGCCCTGGTTCTCACCCTGGCTTGAAGCAATCCTGGCTGATCTGCCTGCTGGCCATCCCCAGTGTTCGCCTCGGAGACTGAGGCAGAGAGGCAAGCTGTCTGAGCTCTGAGCAGTGGAGAGGCTGGAGCAGGGCCTGCTAGTATCACAGAGGCTCACCGTGGGCCTCAAGTGCAGCTGAGGCTCTGAACTGAGGGCTGAGGTAGGAGGGAGTGGGCAGTGACTAAAACTTGCAAGAAAGTTTTAATTTTTTTAATTTTTTTTAAGAGTACTTATCTATCTCTTTCCTCCTAGTCATTCTCACCCTCCTCCAGCAGCAGCCTCCTCTTGGTCAGAATTTAGAATATGTTGTTGCTTTGGATGGCTGGGGTTTCAGTTTCCAGCTAGGTTCTTCCCTGTCCATCTTTCCTCCCTCCTGGCCCTTCTTTTTCCTAGACTATCTACTATGTGCAAATCATCATGTATATGTGTAGCAGGGACAGAGTCCCTGCCCCCAGGAAGCTCCCAGATGTTGTCACCTATGTCAGGGTACTCAGTGAGTGTCCGTGGTGCCAAGGTCTAGCTGAGGTGTCCAAGTGGCACTGAGGGAGACTTGAGCAGGACACACATTATTTGTGTTGACTAAGGAGGTATATGAAACCTGGAAGACCCTGTGGAAGGTGGAGTGAGCAAGGAAGACACCAGGGAAAACAAAGACAAAGAGGCTGGGCACAGTGGCTCACATCTATAATCTCAGCACTTTGGGAGGCTGAGGTGGGCAGATCATTTGAGGTCGGGAGTTTGAGACCAGCCTGGCCAACATGGTGAAACCCCATCTCTACTAAAAATACAAAATTAGCCGGGCATGGTGGTACGTGCCTGTAATCCCAGCTATTCGGGAGGCTGAGGCAGGAGAATCATTTGGACCTGGGAGGTGGAGGCTACAGTGAGCTGAGATGGCGCCATTGCACTCCAGCTTGGGTGACAGAGCAAGACTCCATTTCAAAAAAAAAAAAAAAAGGCAAAGAAAGGAAGCCAGAGGTGGCCTTTGGTTTCCCACCACTGCAGTCCAGCCTGATTCCAGAGCCAGCTGTGAACCCAATTCCTAAAGCTCAAATCTGAGGCTTCTGCTCCTACGTGGGCCGTGTGTTAGGTTGCTTGCCAGCTCGTGTTTTCCCCTCACACCCCTACCTGCCATGTGTTTTCATCTATGGATTCTGCAACAAGCTTTGAACCACAGGACCTCCCTCTGGATGACTGGATCTGGACAGGTAACCTTGGAAGCTTTCCAAGGCCATGTTTTCTGCTGTAAAGATGGTAAAAGAAAGCCCAGCTGGGTTCCTGCCCCAAATTCCCTGAACTGCCCCACCTTGTGTCCTCATACTGCAGTGAGATATTCATCTTTGTGCTTTTTTTTCAGGAAAGATACGTGACCTTTCCCTCCTCAGAGGCACCCACAAGTCCCTGAGGAGAAATGAAGGGTTAAAGCAACAAGGCAAAGACAAAAACAATGTTCAGCCTTTTCAACATCCGAAATAAAATATTGAGCATAGACAGAGAGATTTTTGTTGTAATAATAGACAAGAGAAAGAACAGTGGGATGACCATGGCCACTTTGGACATGCTGACTTTCTCATTGCTCCCTGAACCCCAGTACATTGCACGTCTCTGGGCCTTTGTCGGTGCTTGGCTCTCAGCATGCAACGCACTTCTCTCCCAACTCTGCCCAGCAAGCTCCAGCCCATCTCCTATGATTTACCCAAGTCAAAAGTCCTCCTTTCCAGGAAGCAGGAAGAACACTGAAGGCCCCGGGGCTGAGTACTACTGGCCTTCTGTTCTACTCTCTAGTAAAGCACCCGGCTTCTGATAACTTTATAATGTTCTGCTCACAGATCTGTCTCCTCTTCTAGACTGTAAATATCCAAAGGGAGGGATTGGGAGTTCATCTTTGCCTTCCTGGTGCTCAACATGGTGGCTGGCACATGGTAGGTAATCAAGAAAGTTTAACTATTTAACGCAAAATTCAGTGTCAAATTACCTAGCCTTCATGCAGTTTCCGGTCTGAGCCTTGCCACTGAGAAGTGGCTGTAAACACAAGAGCTATTGCTCAACCGATTCCTGGGTGTGGCTAGAAATGGCAGAGGCTAGTTCAATAGCGGGTGCCCCTAAGCCTTACTGCAAAGGATCCAGCATTCCCTGCCATGCCCTGAAGCAGCCTTATAATTCTGCAATCACTGCTAGATAAGCAGTGTAGCCCATAGGCCCTGAAGCTTGGCTCTTTTGTGACCAAGGTGAAGCCTCACCATCCCTGTCTCTGGGCTTCATGTTCTCCATCTGTCGTGAGGTTGTAGGTCCTAATTAGAAAGCTGTTAGAGATTCCTGAAAGGACTGTTATTGTACTGCAGCACAAAGAATATTATGTCAGGGTGCTATAAGAGCACAGCAAATAATGTGAACGAGGAAATAATAAGGGCACTTATTCCCAGAAGCATATTGATTTAAACCACAAAAACTCCTTGGAACAGGGCTCAAGAATTATAAAAGCCTGAGCAATCAGCAACCCCTGTGGGAGGGGAGCCCATGCCAGGCAATTGCTGGAGAGTTCATTTGGTTGGTCTTGGCAGGCCAGTTTTGTCCCTCAGGTGTTCTTGCTTTGGTGAAATTTCCCTGTTGTAATGAGCCCAGCCTACCTGCTGGGTTCTAGGGAGAAAGGACTATTATTTCCACATCCTTTGCATAAGAAGCAAAGGACTGGCCTTAGCACACAAGTGAATTCACTTATCATCCTCTGTGTGATGAAAACAGATCTCCAGATAACAGAAGCTGCATCATCACTTCTGCTTCTAAAGTCTGCATAGCAGGTCACACCCTGACCCAGCCACTGCTATCTCTGGACAGCAACTTGGGAAAACCAGTTACTCAGTAAATATGAAAAATAAAAAGTCACCTTAACAAATGCGTCATCCTGGAGTAGAAAAGCATGTTTAAACCTGCTTCCAACAGCAGAAAGGGCAGAGCCTGTAAGAAAAAAAGAATGATGGCACTAATTGGACAAAAATTTTAATTTAAAACTTGAAATGGGGGAGCACTGACCCCATTTCTCTGGAGTTTGCACATCCCAGGGGAAAGAAATAAAACATTAAATGGCAAAAAGTATCATAAGCCAAACTCTAAGATAGAATAAATTATAGGGAATATATTTGCAGCATTCATAATAGATATCAGAGTAATATCCTTAATATATAAAGGCATTTACAAATCATTAAGAAAAAGATCAGCAACTAGCATGGGAAATTGAGAACACAAAGAATCCACAAAAGAAAAAATAAAAATGACCAATGAACAGCTAAAAAAAAAAATGTAATAATGTAGCTATGAGCAGTGGGCCTGCCTGTAGTCCCAGCTACTCGGGAGGCTGAGATGGGAGGAATTGCTTAAGTCCAGGAGTTAAAAAAAAAAAAAAAGTAATAGTGAAATAAATATAATTTAAAAATGCAAATTTAAGCAATGAATTTAATTTTTACCTATTAGATTGGCCAATTTTTTTTTAGTGGTAAGTGGTGAGTTCATGTATGACATTGAGTGGTAAGTGGTGAGTTCGTGTTCTAAAGCAAACAATAACTATATTCTATGACCCTGCAGTTCCATTCCTAGTTTCTCCTAAAGAAACCTTTGCACCTGGGCATAAGAAGACACATAGGAGAATGCTTAGAACACCCCTGTTTATAAGAGCAAATGCTGGAAGAAACCCAAATATCCATCAATAGATACATAGATATATAAATTATATATTTGTATAATAGAACACTATACAGTGGTAAAAATGAGTGAATTGTAGCTACATATAGCAAGAGGCATGAACATAAAGTTGAGCGTGTGAAGTCAGTCACTCTAATTCCATTTGTATAAATTGTATGGTGTTAGAAGTCAGAATAGTGGTTCCTTTCAGACAAAGACAGTAACTGGGAGGGAGTCAAAAGGGTTTCTGGGGTGCTAGTAATGTTTTGTGTCTTGATCTAGGCATGTGCTCCCTCAGAAAATGCACCACGCTGAACTTAATATACATGCACTTCTCTAAAAAAATTAAACGAAAATAATCAAAAGATATATTTCAATTATTTTTAATAGGTCTGCAGTATAAGAAAAATCACCTCAATTGCTTACTTTCCAAGATATATTAGAGGCATAGAAAAATAATGTAAGAATACATTTTCTTATCATTAACATTCTGAAACATGAGAGGAAGCCCCTCAAAATGCAAGGCCCCCTTCATTGTATACAATATTTAGTGTAGCACGCAGGCAAATACAGGTTTACAGATTTCTAAGAAATGGGTCTGGTATCATCTCCTTCTCCTTTGTCCAGCACTTTCTGAGCTGCCAGCAGGGAAGGCATTTGAATGTGTGACATACTTCATTTACAAATTTTTTAAAGCAAGTTATAAAAGAATACATAAGTACAATTTAATTTCTATAAAGGAAAAATATGCAGAACTAAGGCACATATTGTTAAAGGATACAAGCATATGTGGTAAAACTAACTAAAAGCAAGGAACTGGTAGAGACACAGTTTAGGAAAGTGGATTCTTCTTCTGAGGAGGAGGAGTGCAGGGATGGGGTCAGAGAAGGCACAGGGGGGCTTCTAGGAGACTGGTGATATTCTAGCTCTGAAGCTAGATGGTGGGTTCACAGATAAATATCTGTGTATTCTTTACGTCCTTCACATTAGAAATATTATTTGTATGTATTTAATATTTAATAAAAACAAATTTAAAATTATTTTAAATAGACTTTTATGCCATTCCTGTTGGGGGTGGGGTGGAGTATAAATTGGTAGAGTTTTTCTAGATGAAAGAGTGGCTATGAGTGAAAAATCATGTAAAGATTATACTTCTAAGAAATTTTCCTAAAACAGTGATCAGACAAGAAAGCAGAGGTATTATAAAAATATATTTATCAAATGTGGTTTATTAAGACAAAAATTAGAAACCATCTAAAGTCTTAAAATAGAAACTGATCAAATTATACTACTCCATAAAATAGAAAACTATGTAATATTAAGATTGATGATGATGATGTACATCTGTTGACTGTCATTGAACTACATTCATGATATATTTTTTAGTAAAATAAAGTTTCAAAACATTATGGTTATGGTATGATCTAATTATTTTTAACACAATATATTTTCATGTAAAGGTACATAAGTAAGAAGGTCTATAGCAATATTAATAAGGTGATTCTTTCTAAATGGTACATGTATTACTCACAGTCAAGAAAATAGGCCCAGTGCAGTGGTTCGTGCCTGTAATCCCAGCACTTTGGGAGGCCAAGGAAGGGAGATCTCTTGAGCCTAGGAGTACGAGACCAGCTTGAGCAGCATACTGAGACCCCGTCCCTACAAAAAAAAAAAAAAGAGAGAAAGAAAGAAAAGAAAAATTAGCCAGATGTGGTGGTGCACTCCTGTAATCCAGCTCCTCAGGAGGCTGAGGCAGGAGGATTGCTTGAGCCCAGGAGATCAAGGCTGCAGTAAACCGAGATTGCACCACTGCACTCCAGCCTGGGTAAAAGAGCAAGATCTTGTCTCAAAAATAAATAAATAAATAAAAATAAGCAGAAGAAAATAATCAAAAGATATATTTCAATTATTTTTAATGGGTCTGCAGTATAAAAAAATCACCTCAATTGCTTACTTTCCAAGATATAGTACAGGCATAGAAAAATAATGTAAGAATACATTTTCTTATCATTAACATTCTGAAACATGAGAGGAATCCCCTCAAAGTGCAAGGCCCCCTTCATTGTATACAATATTTAGTGTAGCACACAGGCAAATACAGGTTTACAGATTTCTAAGAAATGTGTCTGTATCATCTCCCTCTCCTTTGTCCGGCACTTTCTGAGCAGCCAGCAGGGAAGGCATTTGAATGTTGGCAGCCTTCAGCTGCATCCACAGCCGCATCTCAGTCAGCACCACACAGCTGCCTTCTGGGGTGAGGCAGCCGAGAGGGCAGGACAGGAGGGTGTGGCCAGGGGACACCTGGCGCTGGAGTAACAGCCCTGACTGCTCTAAGCATAAGACTGCCGCTCTTGACTCAGAACCTCTCCCCATCTCACCAAAACCATCACCCACACCTCTGGAGTGTTTTTAGGTGACAAATTCACTGATCAGTAAATCACTATAAAAAGCTCTTTCCGGTTGGGTGCGGTGGCTTATGCCTGTAATACCAGCCCTTTGGGAGGCTGAGGTGGGTGGATCACTTGAGGTCAGGAGTTTGAGACCAGCCTGGCCAACATGGCAAATCCCCGTTTCTACTAAAAATACAAAAAATTAGCTGGGCTTGGTGGCATGAGCCTGTAATACCAGCTACTTAGGGGGCTGAGGCAGGAGAGTTGCTTGAACCTGGGAGGTGGAGGTTGCAGTGAGCTGAGATCACACTACTGCACTCCAGCCTGGGTGACAGAGTGAGACTATGTCTCAAAAATAAAATAAAATAAAATATAAATCAAATAAAAAAATAAAAAGCCCTTCCAACGGGGAGGCTACTCAGTCTTAAACAGTGGCCAAAGGACTCCTTAGGGTTGCTCTGTCGTTCCCCCAAGCTCACCATCTTGGGGACCTTCTTGGTGACCCGTTTCTGACCACTCCTGGTTCGTGGCTCTTCCCTCAGCCATGTCTTTCTTTGGTTCTAAAGCTCAGAAAGGCAGCTGGGCTCTGGCAAGAGTCTACTCGGTGAGGTGTCCAGAATGGCAGCGCCCAGTTGCCCTCTGTGCCCTGTCCAAACTGCATAGTAAGACACAACTCGCGGTGTCTGCGGTGGGGCCCCCGACAGCACACAGCCCTGCAGTTGGGGCCATGAAGTGGTGAGGGAGGCCGAGGGCAGAGAAAGGGCGCTAAAGAGAGGCAAAGGCACAGGAGCTGGGGACAAGAAATGGGAAATGTGCCACAGGAGTTTCCCTTTCATCTCTGTTTCCCCCCTTTTTAAAAAAGCACAGGCACTTACCTAATGGCTGCCTGTTTCCTAAATAATATCTGGATAGAAAGAAGGATAAATGATTAAATTTGAGCATAGTTTTAATATTGTTTACCCTAGAAACATGCGAATTCATTATTTTTGTCCTAGTCAATCAAACTTAATTCAGCTACATCAGTGTCCATCGAGTGCCTGTGGAGGTGAGGGGTGGGCTAGGCCAGTGAGATGCACAAAGGTGAATAAGACACATTCTTGCCCTCCATAGGTTTCTAGAAATGTCGGAAATATTCAGTAAAATACAAGCCGTGATGATACCACAGAAGTGAGGAGAGCAACAGAGAAAAAGTAACTCACTTCCAAATTTTACATCTTTATTTTTGAGGACTAGCAAGCTTTCTGATTCCATCTGTGTGTGTGTGTGTGTGTGTGTGTGTGTGTGTGTGTGTTTTACTAGAGTCTATGTATTTCCATGTCGTGTTTTCCTGTGTTGTGCTGGCCTAGAATGGGCAGTTGCTGTGGCTGATCTTGGGTGCGCAGTAGCAGTGGTGGTGGGCTTCCCTCCAGGAGGCTGCCATAATGGGCCTGCCTCCCCAGACAGCTCCCTTTCCTTGTGCTTCTGTGTCCAAAATTCCCAATTCCTGGGAGAGGAATCTGGGCAGGTCACAGCATGAACATGACCACCTGGAACTATCTAGGGGTGTGTGCATCAGAAGTGCAGGGGAGGTTGTACTGGCCCCAGAGAAGAGCAGCTGAGCAGATAACCCACTGCAATTCGGAAGTATATACTATCGTTTCCTGTAAGTGTATCTTTAAGTCACTAACATGTGACAGGCAGAAGGCATGGAGGTGCGCAATGATTGCCCTCATGTTTTACATTGTGTGGCAGATCCATTTGTTTTATCTCTTTCTGCAGTAAAAAGCATCGTGTGATGACTCCCTGTTAAGTGACAGTACACCTGACTGCCGAGTCACCTTTTCAGATAAGGTGTGTTCCCCTTTTATTAGGTGCTATAAGGAGCAGTATTCAGATGCTCAGTCGTTTACCTGGCAACCACTTACTGGGTAGCAACTACATGCCTGATACGTGATTGCTTTGCTTGAGGAACCCACAGTCTAAGGTGCTTGAGGAACCCACAGTCTAAGGTGGGAGTCTGTGATATATAGAGCAGCAAAGTGACATGAGCCATTAAAAATTAAAATCTGTCTTCTCTTTCAACTGCTTGCCTACATTACAGATGAAATGCAAGGAATACCTACTTCCAAACAGACAAGCACAAGCCTTCTTAGTTGGGACCAAGCACAGCTGGCCACTGCAGCAGCAGGCACAGTGACAAATATTCATTGCAAGTGTGAAGAACCCTCATTACACTTTTAGGGATATCAGAGAGAAAGAACAGGTCTATTTCCTACCCCTGGGAGGGAGTGGAGAGTCTCATGGAAGAGATAGGCATATGTGCAGATGATCCCAGAATTTCCACCTAGGAGGGACACAGGGGCTTCATTTACTTGGGAAGGGGCAGGCTTGGGGACCTGGATTGTTGTGTTTTCACAGGACTTTACCTGAACTGAGAAAACGCCAGATGCTCATGACAAAGAAGGAAGTGTGTGTGTGTTGGCGGGCATGGGATGCTGATGGAGATTAAGAGGAGATGGCTAAGGCCTCCAACCCTGCTCTTGAAGGCAGCACTAGCCATAGGTAGAACTACATCATACATATAGGAAAGAAACATTGAAACATGCACACGGGAGTCAGGGACCTCGGCCTTAGGTGCCAGCTTTGCCGCTGGCTGGAGCAGGTCTTTTTTCTCTCTGGGCTGCAGTCGGGGGTCCTCTGGGATGCCCCTGTGCTTCAAGAGGCTCCAAAGACAGATGTGAGACAAGTGTGATATGCAGCAGAACCAAATAAACCTTGTCAAGCCAACCTCAGGTAAGGGCTGCTGCTCACTCAGCTTGCCTGGTCAGGACACGTGACCTTGATTTCCATGGCCTGGTAGAACCCAACCAGCCCAAATGAACAGAAGAGTTACACAACTGAGGAATGTATGTAGACAACAAAAGAAGGAGGTAAAAATAACTCAATCTGCAGGACTAAAAGATAGTTGCATTGTTTAATCATAAATTTACCCAACTAACTACTGATACGTGATCTGATGTGATATATGATTTGACATGTGCTCTCAATTCCCTTACTTAGTAGGAAACTGGAAAATACTTTTTTTTGACATAAGATCTCGCTCTGTCACCCAGGCTAGAATGAGGTGGCACAATCATGGCTCACTGCAGCCCTGACGTCCTGGGCTCGAGCAATACTCCCACCTCAGCCTCCTAAGCAACTGAGACTAACAGGTGCACACCACCACACCCAGCCAACTTTTTTTGTTGTTTTTGCAGAGACAGGGTCTCACTATGCTGTCCAGGCTGGTCTCAAGCTCCTGGGCTCAAGCGGTTCTCCTACTTTGGCTGGGATTACAGGCAATCCTCCAAAAGTGCTGGGATTGCAGGCATGCGCCACTGCGCCTGACAGGAAAAGACTCTTGAGCACGACTGAGAGATGGGTGTGGGGTGCAGGGTTGTATGTGGAAAGAGAAGAGAGGTCAGGGTCACTCCAAAGTGTCTGGCATCCCAAATCTGCCAATCACCAATTGTGCAACTCGAGGGATACTACTTGGGATTACCGGACCTCAGTTTCCTCATTTGTAAATTGGAGAGAGCCTCCTTGGTGGTTGTGAGGACTAAATGTTAACATAGATATAAATTGTGTAGCACATACTAGGTGCCTAAGAACAGTAGCTACCTGCTTCATTCTTGTTTCCAATACATTATTCTTTTTTTTTTCTTTTTTTGAGACAGCATCTCGCTCTGTCACCAGGCTAGAGTGCAATGGCGCGATCTTGGCTCACTGCAACCTCTGACTCCCTGGTTCAAGTGATTCTCCTGCCTCAGCCTCCCGAGTAGCTGGGATTATAGGCACACAACACCACGCCCAGCTAATTTTTGTATTTTTAGTAGAGATGGGGTTTCACCATGTTGGCCAGCCTGGTCTTGAACTCCTGACCTCGTGATCCGCCCACATTGGCCTCCCAAAGTGCTGGGATTACAGGTGTGAGCTACTGCGCCTGGCCTATTCTTCCTCTCACATGTCCCATGTCAACCTGGGTAACAATGTCCTTTTAAGATTTACAGTGTCTAATTCTACATGAAGAAAATTCTGCATTAGACACTTGTCCCAACTCTTGGACAGAGGCCTGAGTCACCATACCCAGCATCTGCCTGCTGAGAGAAGACAATACTGTATGGCCACGGGGTCCCAGCTAAGTGACGGGTCTGGCGAAGCCAGAGGGGTTGGATGGAGACAGACAACAGCCAGCTTCCTTAATTAGGGATAACCTGTAAGGTTGCTTCCAAGCCTAAGATACAATGATTTTGATTTTTTTTTCTCTGATTATTTCATTGATCCAGATAGACTAGGCAAAGTCTAGAGAGTTCAGCTGACTCACATTGAGCAATGGCTGGGCTGGGATCAGAAGCTCTGGCCTTTGAGCCATCATCACAGAGCTGGAAGAGACCTTGAGCTCATCAAAAACAGAGCCAGCTCCCAGGGGGAATTTCAAATCCATGCATACTACCAAAAAATAAAAAATAAATAAAATAAAATAAAATAAAAAACCACCATGTTCATTTTGAAAGTATTCCTGGATAATTTCCAACTCAAATAGTTTTACTATGTAAATTCCTTTGATAAAATATTTATTTGGCATCTATTCCAGGCAACAAACACACAGTGCTCTCTGAGTTATCTTTGAGCGTATTTGTTTTCTTCCCTAGTGACATTTTCTAATTGGAAATAATGAGTGGGAAGCTCTGGGCAGGGCATCTTGGCATTTGCCTTTGCTGGGTGCCAGCCTGTGTTAAATCTTCAGGCTGCCTGCCAGACACAGAATTGCGACTGGGAATGGAGCTCAGGAAATAGTGCAAAAGGAAACCAGGCAGAGGTCAGAGAGAAGAGGGCTTGAGACTGTAAATAGCATAGTGGTTAAGAGGAGCAGCGGCTGCATCAGACCTTCCCACTGACGCAGGGAGAGGATGAGGAAAGATGGAGATGTGGTGACTGGAGAGGAGGGGCGGATGGAGAGATGGAGGGGGTGTGGGCAGGAAGCAAAGAAGGGAAGCAGGAAGCTTTGGCTGGGCACGGTGGCTCACGCCTGTAATCCCAGTACTTTGGGAGGCCAAGGTGGGCGCATCATCTGAGGTCAGGAGTTCGAGACCAGCCTGGTCAACATTCCTGGTGAAACCCCTTCCCTACTAAAAATACAAAAAAATTAGTGGGGCCTAGTGACGCGTGCTTGTAATCCTAGCTACTGAGGAGGCAGGAGAATTGCTTGAACCCAGGCGGCGGAGGTTGCAGTGAGCCGAGATCATGCCATTGCACTCCAGGTTGGGTGACAAGAGTGAAACTCCATCTCAAAAAAAAAAAAGTAATAATAATAATAATAAGAAGAAGGAAGCTTCTTTGTCAGGGCCAACCCAATAGCATTTGCATTAATCAGGGCCAAACCATGGAAGCAGAACCACTGATTATTATGGACTAAGGTATTTATTATAAGAATGAGATCTTACACAATGCAGTGGGGAAAGTGGGGAAGTAAAGATCTGAAAAGGGGAGGTGAAGAATCACGAGAGTCACTGCTTGGCCTGGCGTGGGTGAACAAGGTGCAGCTTGCAGAAAGCAAGGCAAGACTGGCTGCCGTCAAGGGCCAGGTGACAAGAGGACATAGAGCCTCAAATTTGGGACCACGTTTCTTTTAAGGTATAGTTGAGAGGAAAACTGTCGGAGAGTTTCTGTTCATCAAGACTAAGTTGCAAGTGGTAGAAATTCTAAAACAAACTGACCTAAGTGAGAAAAAAAGAGAGAGTGACTTTTGGGGAAAGCTCTGGGGTAGCTCGAGGAATCAAAAGAACAATTGCCAGATGACGCCAGGAAGAGTCAGACCTGGGAACTCGACACCACAGACCCTTTCCTTGTTTCCATCTCTGTCTCTCACTGCCTCATTTCTTCTTCCTTCTGGCTGGTGGCCTTGTCCTCCCAGCCTTCTCATGTGGCACATGGGGTCATATTGATAAAGCGCCTTGACCAGAAAGGGAAGATACTTTTCCCTACAAGCTTAATTTAGAAAAATCCCTGGCTTGCTTTTTCTTTCTTTCCCTTTGTTTCTTTCTTTTTCTTTTTCTTTCTTTCTTTGTCTTTCTTTCTTTCTTTTTCTTTTTCTTTCTTTCTTTCTTTTTCTTTCTCTCTCTTTCTTTCTTTTCTTCTTTCTTTCCTTCTTCCTTTCTTTCTTGTTCTTCTTTCTTTCCTTCCTTCTTTCTTTCTTCCTTTCTTCCTTCCTTCCTTTCTTTCCTTCCTTCCTTCCGTCTTTCTTTCTTTCTTTCTTTTCTTTCTTTCTTTCTTTCTTTCTGTCTTTCTTTCTTTCTTTCTTTCTTTCTTCTTTTCTCTCTCTCTCTCTCTTTTCAGATTGATCCTTGGATGAATTCCCAGATCAATCACTGTGGCTAGGTGAGTAGGTTGTTATTACGGTTGAATCAGGGTCACATGCCCACCCCTGTGGCCGAAGAAGAGGAGGCCAGGGTCCTTTGATCAGCAGCCTCCTCACAACCAGGTGGAAGAAGAAAGGAGCAGTTCCCCCATGGAAGGAAGTTCTGTCCCCTGAAGAGCAGAAGAAGTGCTGAGCAGACACAAGTCACAGCTGTCCACTCTGGTGTCCCATGGACTGAATGAAATGTTCCTTAAATTCATTGTTCTCATTCTTACCCATTTTCTTTAATGTTATGCCCACTGCAACAAGTTTCTGAGAACATTCAACTGACATTTTAAAGAGAGATGTCACAAAGAAGGAAATACTTTGTAAAGAGTGATGCTTAGTGATCATAATCATCTTAGAGACCTAGAGAGATTGAGTGACTTGCTCGAGGCCACTCAATTATTAAAAAGGAGAAGTAGGACTTTCACAGAATATCCCCATGGAATAAATTAATAGTCTGGTTTATACAGCACTCTGGAGACTTGAGCAACTATGAATCCATCATCCAAGGCTTGATCAGATTGTTTTCCTGGACGATAAAGAGCAGACCAGGGCCAGAGTGATTACTCAGAGGTTAAAGAATAACAGACATTACTCGGAATCTGACTTCAGCATGCAACCAGGCAGAGATGATTCACGAAGTGTGTGTGTGTGTGTGTGTGTGTGTGTGTGTGTGTGCGTGTGAAATCTTCAGTGTGTGTTTAGATTGCTAGGTAAGAAAAGTAATGTAATTGAAGTCATATACATCTTTTCCAGGAAGAAAAAAGGGACTTGAGATTAGGGTTTCAGGTACCTTGAAAAAGATGGGCAATTTAATTGTTCTCTAAGTTGGCCCTTAGTTATCCACTCTAAAGAGAGCTTAAAACATGCCTGCATCTTTAGCTCACAATTTATTTCTCTTCTCCTGTTTGTCTTTTGTACTTTGTCAGTGGTTTCCACATTTGGATGTGCATCAAAATCACTGGTGGAACTTAAACAAAAGCATCCAGTCACCAGCCTGCCCCTGACCCCTACACTCACATTACGGGCTCCTTGGAGGATTCTAGTACATAGGTGGGGCAGAAAACATCTCCTCATGCTGCAAAATGCTCTCCGGCATGCAGAGAGACTTTGTGTGCTTTATCTTGCCTGATACCCCACAACGGTGAGGACAAGGCCAGACTGGGAAAATAAGGAGACAGCAGTTAAATGGCGTTCCTAAGGTGAGGCAACTTGTAAGTAGTAGAATTAGGAGGACTAGAACCTAGATTTTGCTCCTAATTCAATCAATAAGGATGACTAGGGCTTGGTCTTGACCAACTGTGGAGGAGTAGCAGGTGAAAGAGGCATAACTAACAAGCATAGGTCTACTTTTGCAAGTAATCAATCAAAGTCATACTCTAAAGTAGCATCTAGAAATTAGCACCTTCCACAGGCCGTGCCCTTCCTAAAATGTACCATCTGTATACTCTTTCCTTGTAGAAGGTGTCTTCCTTTCTTGTTCTGGTAATGACCTTGGGAAAGTTGCTTGACTTCACTGTTCCTTGGTTTCCTCATCTATACAATGAGAGTGTTGGATTTGATTCCTTTCTGCTCTTGTGCTAGATAGTTACATTGGTTCAGTGACAAGCCCTTGGACGTCATGTGATTGCAAAGGGCTAAAAAAGAGCCCTCTGTATTCTAAGTGTCTGTTGATGCTTTGTCCAGTGGACAAAGCCTTTCAGGTTGCAACGTGGCGTAAGAAAAAGCTTAAAATGAGGCTGGGTGTTGTGGCTCACACCTGTAATGCCAGCGCTTTGGGAGGTCGAGGCGGGTGGATCACTAGGTCAAGAGATCGAGACTATCCTGGCCAGCATGGTGAAATCTCGTCTCTACTAAAAATACAAAAATTAGCTGTGTGTGGTGGTGTGTGTCTGTAGTCCCAGCTACTTAGGAGGCTGAGGCAGAAAAATCGCTTGAACTCAGGAGGTGGAGGTTGCAGTGAGCCAAGATCACACCACTGCACTCCAGCCTGGTGACAGAGCGAGACTCTGTCTCAAAAAAAAAGAAAAAGCTTAAAATGAGATAATCCCTGGAAAAGGTGGATTGTGACTCAGACTCATTCAAGTAAAAAATGAAAATGATTGACAGCAAAGGAAGGGGGAAGTGTTCAGAAAATAAAGTAGGAAGGCTGCAGATCTGTGAAGGCGAATGGGGAGATGGGGCTGAAGAACACCCTCAGGGGCTGGAGTTGACCAAAAGAGGGGTGGCAGCAGCAATGTCTGATTAATTTCAGTTTTGCCTGAGGTGGGTTGGCCCTACATGGATTATTGGATGGAAACTGGACTCTGAGCCCCTACTTCTGCCCCAGCCCATCTGGAAGGTTTTGAGACCCTTTTCCCCAAATTTTCTACTACTGAAAGCCCCATAAGGCTGAAATAGACACTAGTGTCCTAAATGGATAAAACATTGATGTTGGCCCTTGCCCACGCTGGCTGCAAGAGCTGGAAGAAGGAACCTGGAAGCTAAAAAGGGAATAGAAAGAAAGACACAAACTCATAAGAATAGTGTCAGGAAGATTAAAGTCACTACAGAGAGGGGCCTTACAAACCGTGGGCAGGGCAATAAAGAGGCCTATTAGGTGAAGTTCAGGACAAGAAGATGGACTAGTCCCATAGCTTGGGAAACAGCACAGTGATAACAAATCACAGAGACAGAGGAGCCATTCAGCTTCTAAGTGCTTATTCTTTTCCACTATTTGAGACACAGGCAAGTCTCTGAATACCCAGCTGAGCTTAGGGCCTGGCACATAGTAGGGGTACAATAAGTTTGCTCAATGAATGAAGAATGAATGGGAGGAGGCTGAAGAGAAGAAGGCTCTTCAAGCTCAACAACGAGCCCAAGGTGTTTGAAAAGGTCCTAAGAGGCATCTTTGCTGTCAACTCAATCCAAGTCAGAAGCAAAAGATCATTGTGCCAACAGTCATTGTGGTAGTGGGTTTCTTAGGAAACTACTGAGATAGAGGTTGTGTGCAAGAAGCTTATTGAGGAATGCCCTTGGGACCCACACCTATGGGGGAGTGAAGAGAGTGCAAGGGCAGAGGGATGGGTTGAACTGTGGTGTAGATGCAACAGAGGTCTCAGGCCAAACCCATGGGACAACTCTTCACAGTTGGCCCACCTTGAGACAAGGGTGTAGGAGGTTAGGTTATACTTCCTCATCAACCAGTCAATGGACACGGGCTTCACCCCTGGAGGAAACGTGAACTTGGAACACCTGAGAACTGGCAGCAGCCAACCAACACTGCCAACAGTTGAGGGAATGAGTGACTGGATCTTGAAGATGGGATGTGTGGGCTCACCACAGCACCATGGCATCCACTGCAATAATTAATCCAACTTCCTTATTTGACAGATAAAAAATGTCCAGAGATGAAATCATATAGCTGGTGAAGAGCAGAGCCAGGACATTTCTCAAATGGTCACTAGCAAATTCCCTTAGTGGACTTGGAATTTGGTAGAGGATTCAATAAATCCATCAATATGGATAAGAAGGAGAAATGGTGATTAGATCAATGGTTCCCAAACCTAGCTGTCATCAGCATCACATGGAGGGATGTTAGAATACAGATTCCGGGGCTCCATTTTCAGCAATGCTATTACTCGGGGGTCTGGGGCAAGGCCTGTGAGTCTGTACTTTTTTGTAAGTACCAGGTTATTCTTATGTGGCCTGTCTCTCACCCTGCACTTGGGAACAAGTGGCTAAGATCATAGAACACTGGTCAGATACTAGATTTTTAAACAATCTACACTTACAGACTATTACTGAATGATGTTGCTCTGGAAAATCTCAGGTGGGTGCATGGAGGCTCATTCCTGAGTTCTGTCTTATTCAAAAACTTCAACCCTAAAAAAAAGGCTGGGCGTGGTGGCTCATACCTGTAATCCCAGCACTTTGGGAGGCTTAGGTGGGTGGATCACCTGAAGTCAGGAGTTCAAGACCAGCCTGACCAACATGGTGAAACCCCATCTCTACTAAAAATACAAAATTAGCTGGGCATGGTGGCACACACCTGTAATCCCAGCTACTTGGGAGGCTGAGGCAGGAGGATCACTTGAACCTGAGAGGTGGAGGTTGCAGTGAGCTGAGATTGCACCATTGCACTCCAGTCTGGGCAACAAGAGCGAAATTCCATCTCAAAAAAAAAGAAAAATTACCAACACTCAAAGACATTAATAGGCTATAAATCCACTGAAGATAATCCCCAAACTAGAAGAGATTGCTAGTACTTTGGAGCTCAAATCAGTATTTCAACAGATTTCAACATGTAGCTTGAAGTATCATGTTGTAGGTTGATATTTCTTGACATTAAAGTTGTTCGTGATGTCTTAAATGAAAGGAAGCAGCAGAGAGGCAGTGGGATATGATGGTTTAGAGCACAGATGGTTTAGAGCATGGATCCTAATGGACTGCCCAGGTTCAAATCCCAGCCCCATTGCTTGCTCACTTGCACCTCAGGTTCCTCATCTGTAAAGTGGGGATAATAATATAAAATCATAGTACTTACTGCATCAGGTTAATGTAAGGGTTATGTGAGTTAATATGTATTTAAAAATTATAACCGCCGAGCACATAGTAAGCACGATGTAATACTATTTTTCTGTGTAGTTGTTTCAGTCATCAATTGCTGTTTTAGCAAACTATCCCAAAATTTAGTGGCTTAAAATGACAATTTACTACTTCCCATGATTCTGTGGATTGTTCTGTATCACTTGGTACTGACTGGGGCTCTGGGGCAGCTCACATTTGGTACTGGGACCATCTGGAGCTTTACTGGCGTTCTCAGCCACAGGATTCCATTCTCCTCCATGTGCGCCTCTTCACATGGCTAGTGAGTCCTCCTCACATGGTGGCTGGGCTCCGAGAGATGAAGGCAGAAGTTGAGGTCTCTCAAGACCCAGCCTTGGAAGCTACCCAGTGTTACTTCCACTTCAATCTATTGGTACAGATTAGTCTCAGGCCCAGCCTGGATACACAGGGAGTGGAAACAGACCCCACCGTTCAGTGCGGGGAGTGGCAAAGAATTAGGAGTCATTTTTAATTTACCACAGATGCTTAATCCCACTTGTGTGTGTGTGTGTGTGTGTGTGTGTGTTCATGTGTACGTGTGTCTGTGTGTTCATGTCTGCATGTGAGTGTGTGTGTGAGAGAGAGAGAGAGAGAGAATGTGTGTACGCATAGAAAATGCCTGGAAGAATATATACCAAAATGTGAACAATACTTATCTTGAAGAGGTAAGGTTACAATATGGTTGTTGTTCTCTTCTTTATCTTTGCATGTTTTGCTTTTTCTCCCCTGAATTTTCCATGATTAAAAAAACGAGGATTTTAAAACTTAATATGAACCAAAATTGAGATCGTTCTACCAAAAATAAAAGAAAAAGCTAGCTCAAATTCACACAGCATTCCTAAAACCACAGTAGCTAGCTCTAGAACAAAGAAGGTCCTACTCCCACCCCCACACCGCCTTCAGAGCCCGCTGGAGTGTGTGTGCAGTGCTAAATTCTCAGCTCTAAGATTCACAAAGGGAAACATAACATGTCAAGGTGTGAGAGGGGAGACAAAGGTCTGTAAACTGTGTGTTCTGGAGAAGGACTTAAGGACAACTGGGAGGAAGAGAAGGAGACTTGGAGGGGGCATGGTATCATGAACACGCCCTCACTCGGTGTGGGGGAACAGGTGTCACGGGGAAGAGGCAGTAGTTCTGGTCCTACAGAATTAGGAACATTGAATGGCAGTGACACAGAGGCGGAGTTAATATTTTTCATACGAAGAAGAACGCTCTATTTTGTAAAAAAAGAGGTCGGTCACAGTGGTTCACGCCTGTAATCCCAGCACTTTGGGAGGTCAAGGCGGGTGGATCTTCTGAGGTCAGGAGTTGAAGACCAGCCGCCCCAACATGGTGAAATCCCATCTCTACTAAAAATACAAAATTAGCCTGGTGTGGTGGCAGGCCCCTGTAATCCCAGCTACTTGGGAGGCTGAGGCAGGAGAACTGCTTGAACCCGGGAGGCAGAGGTTGCAGTGAGCTGAGATCATGCTACTGCACTCCAGCCTGGGCAACAAGAGTGAAACTCTGTCAAAAAAAAAAAGGAGCAAAGATGGAATGAACTTCCCAGGAAGGCCACAACCCCCCTGTTCTCCTGCAGACCAGATGCCCATGTCACAGGGGGCGTGGATAGCAGAATCTCACCCTGGGAGGTGCCTGGCCCAGAAGACCCTCCAGGTCCCTTCCAAATCTCAGATTGTACAACCATAGGCTTATGTGGGAGTACAAATAAAATACACACTCATTTATTTAGGAAGCTGAAGTCTTATCCTGGCCAAAGGCAGTGACCCGAAATAAATGACTTCCTGAGATTCCTTTTATGAGGCTATAAATGGAAATTGCCCTTCCTATGAAAATATGATGACTCAACAAATATAACCAGGTAAACATGAGATGTGTGGCAATGTCCTGGGTGTTCAGAAAAGTCTCTCAGTCCACAGTCTTAGACTTTGAGAGGGAAGATATCTAATCACCATATGAACCTAACATTCCTAAATATAGTCATTACAGATGAGTACCTATGGGGGTAGCAAGGGCTGAAAGAGTGCATGATTGATTTGTAATAGCAAAGAAAGCTTGGGGGCATGTGGAGGCAGGAGTTTTAATAAGTTGTAACCAAGAGATGAGAGGGGTGGGGACTGAGAGAGGAAGAGAGGCCCTGCCCCACATCTCTGTGTTAATGTGAACAGCTTTGGTGGAGGAAAGAAGGCACATTGCCAGTGGAGGGAAGAAAGCACAATCTTTCCTAAACAGATCACAGATATCTTTATTGACTAATATAATAATTATAATCGGCTGGGCGCAGTGGCTCATGCCTGTAATTCCAGCACTTTGGGAGGCTGAGGTGGGCGGATCAGGAGTTGGAGACCAGCCTGCCCAACATGGTGAAACCCCGTCTCTACTAAAAATACAAAAATTAGCTGGGCGTGGTGTCATGCACCTGTAGTCCCAGCTACTCAGGAGGCTGAGGCAGAAGAATCGCTTGAACCTGGGAGGTGGAGGTTGCAGTGAGCCGAGATCGTGCCACTGCACTCCAGCCTGGGTGACAGATCAAGACTCCATCTCAAAAAATAATAATAATAATTAGAATTAGAATTATAATCTCCTCCATTTACTGAGGGCCCACTGGGCAGCAGTTGCTTTACATACATTATCTCATCAAATCAGTCCAATAGCCAGGTAAAGCAGTGACCATTGTCTCCAGGGACCAGGGGCCAGAGATATGAAGAACTATGGCTTTGGGGGTGCCTGCCTAACTCACAAGAGCCCTCTTCACTGCCCCTTGCCCACAGTGGTTGCTCCTAGCACCCTCCATTCAGTGTGAACCCTGCTGTCTGTCCTTGGCTGAGTCAGAGCCCCTCCCCGAGAGAGCACACATCTGGAATTGTGTCCAAGACAGATCCACGCTTTCCGTGGGATGGGAGCTGTAATTTGAAGCAAGGGCAAGGGATGGTCATATTCTGCTATGCTGAGACAGAGGAAGATGGGAGTAGGAGGTGGTCAGGGAGGGGAGGAGGGAGGGAGAGACAGAGACAGAGAGAGAGAGAAAGAGGAAGCAGATGCCTAGAGAGATACAGAGACAGAGAGAGGCACCACTTGGCTCCCTGTGGGTGGCTGCCCACTTCCCTGTTTTTGGTTCTTCCTGGGATCCGGGGCCTTCCTGCCCTCCAGTAAAGAGACAGCCCTATAGCTTTATAATAAATTGATTCTTATTACTTATGCCAGCTTGAGTGCCCATGACTCACAACCAATAAGCTCTTACTAATACAAGTGCTTTGTCTATTTGTTAAATAAGGAGCCAGTCTTCCAACACAAGTTTGCACCTATGCAGAGTCCATGAGGAGCTCCTGCTTCTTTTCTGTCTGCTTCAGAGTGGCAGTTTTAAAGTAACATTTCCTAAAAGGAGGTCTGGTGAGACAGCGTGCTCTTTGCATCATCAAGGTGGCCCCTGTGCCAATTAGGTGTCACCAGCCTGAGAGCCAGCTGCTCTGATGAGCACAGGAGCTGACCAGCAGCAATGAAGCTAGTTCACAGAGTTCAGTGGTCACACACCTATCTCCATCATCACATTCTCCCTAGAACAGTGGGCATCTTTCCTACAACACTGTTGCTTTCCACATTTTAATGGCATGGAGCAGGAGAAATTCCTTTAGGAGCTTGGCTTCCTAAGCCTCTGCCGTCTCCCAGCACTAGCTCCCACCTTCACTCTCACCACCCCAGAACTGCGCCTGCTTGCCACACACCTGCTTGTCAGAACTGCCACCTTCGCCACCGCTTCTCCCAAGCCTCCTCCTGGCCTCTGCCCACAGACTCCCTCCTGGTTGGCTTCACCCTGAACCTTGTCCCCATGTCTATGATAGCCCCGATGACACATTCCTGCTTCTACTTGCTTAGCTATCTGTCTCCCACTTCTACCCAGGGGCCCCTGAAGGGCAAGGTCTGTGTCCAGTTGGTGATGTGTCTCTAGTCCCTATCACAGTGGATGGCACATACTTCGTACTTAGTAAATGTCTGTAGAGTGAATGATTGAAAGAATAAATGAATGATTAAACAAACTCATTTTTTTTCCAGATTCATTTCATTCACTGTCCCTTCCCTCTGACATATGGAGCATGCTATGTTTTACTTCACTAACATTTCTTTTAGGATAAGTTTGTCTTCCCTGTTTCTTTGTGCAACTGAAGGACTTCAGAACAAGGGCTTCTTCCTCTTTCCTTTTCATACCTAGCACAAGGCTTCACATACAACTGGTGTCAATTTGTGTGTGTGTGTGTGTGTGTGTGTGTGTGTGTGTGTGGTTCTGAGTGTTTTGTTTTAGAGCTCAACATAATAATCTTCATGCTTATTCTTTCCCAGGGAGCTTCCCAAATAGCAATGTCGTTGGTGTCCTGTCCTTTTCTTCCTCTCCTTATGGATGCTCGCTTCTTGACGGTGGACATAGTTCAACATGAGGCTTTAGATTCAACGGGAGTGACCTTTCGCTTAGGCAATCCAGACAGGAATTTACTCAAACATCCAAAAATAGAGACATCTATTTAATCGCCCTAATTGAACTTAGGAAAATCTATCACATCACATTCCTGCACTTTCTGACCTGCCTGAACAGAACAAACAAGAAGTGAAGTGCCTACTGGGGGATCACCCCTGTCCCCATCAGTTAGGCAGCAGGTGCACGCATGCAATGGGTGAGCTCCTGCAGTGGGGGGCTACATAACACGTGCCCCCCTGCTGCTGTAGCCCTTACAGGCTGTTTCCTTCCCACGGCAAGCCAGTGATAGTGGCCTTGAGGCTATAGGATGTGGCTATTAGAGGAGAGAGGGGTGAGAAGGGGAGAGCCAGCTAGGAGGGTCCTGGATGAGTGAGGAGAAGGCTGTGCATGGGTTATGTAGGTCGTCACCACCTCTCGGTGTTCAGGGTGCTGCTCCCCAGTAGTGGCACTTGCCATTTTACTAGACAACCCTTGACATTACATTGCTGCCACCACCTTTGCTCTGGGCCCTCTGGGCAGCAGCAGCTCCCTCTGCCATCCTGGATTACATCACTTGGTTTTAGGTGAGCCAGGACAGCCCCTGGAGAGGAATAAACATGCTGAAAGGGAATTCACAGGAAGGGGAACTGACATTTAAGTGCCTACTTTATGCCAGGCACTGTGCTAGGCTTTCTTTTTCCTTTTCTTTTTTTTTTAATTAAAGAGTGTAAATATGAAATTCATATATCTTAAATTAGTTATCAGAGCCCCACACAATTAATTTCTTTTTCCCATGTCTGGTTTGCTAAAAATTATTTAAGATCTCAATTCCCCACTGATTTGGCAAGATATGGTGAAATCGATAAAATATTTTTTTAGACTTAAAAAAAAAAGGAAATCCTGCCATTTGCAACAATATGTATGAAACTTGAGGCCATTATGCTAAATGAAGTAAGCCAGACTCAGAAAGACGAATACTGCATGATCTCACTTACACATGAAATCTAAAAAATGTTGAACTCATAGAAACAGAGAGCAGAGGGGTGATTACAGAAGTCAGGGTGTGGGAGAAATAGGGAAGTGTTGCTAAAAGGAACTAATTTGTAGTTGTAAGATGAATAAGTTCTGGAAACCTAAGGTACAGCATGGTGACTATAGTTAATAATAGATTGTATACCTGAAATTTGTTAAGAAAGTAGTTTGTTTTGTTTTTTTTTAAAGATAGAGTCTTGCTCTGTCTCCAGGCTGAGTGCAGTGGCATGATCTTGGCTCACTGCAGCCTCCACCTCCCGGGTTTAAACAATTCTTGTGCCTCAGCCTCCTGAGTAGCTGGAATTACAGGTGTGCACCACCATGCCCAGCCAATTTTTGTATTTTATTAGACATGGGGTTGTACCATGATGGCTAGGCTGGTCTCGAGCTCCTGACCTCAAGTGATCTGCCTGCCTTGGCCTCCCAAAATGCTGGGATTACAGGCGTGAGCCACTGCCTGAAAGTAGATCTTAAGTATCACCACATATACAGACACACACAAAGGTAACTATGTGAGGTGATGGATACATTACTTAGCCTAGATGTGGTAATTATTTTACAATGTATACATATATCAAAACATCATGTTGTACAACTTGAGTATATGCAATTCCTATTTGTCAATTCTACCTCAATAATGCTGAATAGAAATAAATTAAAATCAAAACCCCCCTGTTCACATTGGATCAATGGATAATGAACATATAGCCAACATGGGAAATTTTCAAAGAAAAGTAAATATATTACTTTAATCATTAAAAAAGATGTGAAATTGCTTGGCTTTTTGTAGATAATATACATGACAGGAGAACTGTGTCTTATATTTCTGGTCTTCTATGTAGCTCTGACTTTATGGTCAATATTCTGAGTCTCATTCTATTCTCAAAGCAGCAAAATAACTTGAAGGCTTGAGATTGAACATTTTTGGTCTAATTGCTCACCAGAACCCATTTTCCTCCTCATCCCAGTCACATGTCTCAGCCTTCCTTGTAGTCAGATATGGCCAAGTGGATAAATTTCCTCCAAAGGAATGTGAGCACAAGTGCTGTGTGTCACTTCCAGGACTACACCTGAATGTGTTTCCTCCCCAGTCTCTTCCCCATTTCCACACATTGAGACTGAGACACAGCAATGATTCAACCAGGACCATGCAGATAACAGCAAGGCCTAGGGAATAGAGGAGCAACAAGATGGAAAAAACTTAGATCCCTGAATGATTAGGTGGAACAGAGCCACCTACTCCTTGGAATGCCCACCTTGAACTGATATGTGAGAAAAAAACCAAACTTTTATCTTTTTTTTTTTTTTTTTTTTTTTTGTGACAGTGTTTTACTTTGTCACCCAGGCTGGAGTGCATGGCGCCAACTCAGCTCACTCCAGCCTCAACTTCCCAGGTTCAAGCCATCCTCCTGCCTCAGCCCCCCAAGTAGCTGGAACTGCAGGCGCACACCACCATGCCCAGCTAATTTTTGTACTTTTAGTAGAGACAGGGTTTCGCCATGTTGCCCAGGCTGCTCTTGAACTCCTGGCCTCAAGCGATCTGCCAGCCTCAGCCTCCCAAAGTGCTGGATTACAGGTGTGAGCCACTGTGCCCGGCCTCTTTTATTTTCTTTAAGGTATGGAATTATTGATTGGTCTCTGTTAGAGAAACCTAATGTTATACTAATATAGAAATTAGTATAGAAAATACAGCATTGCTTTTATCAAAATCTGAAATATGTGGCATTGTCTCAGCAGTTGAGCGATAAGAAAATTGATATTATGTACTGGAAAGCCAGTGTCCTTTTTATGCTGAGGCAAAAAAAAGTTTGGCAATAATAATAATAATAATAATAATAATAAGAAGAAGAAGAAGAAGAAGAAGAAGAAGAAGAAGAAAAATAAAAAGAAGAAGAAGAAGAAAAATAAAAAGAAGAAGAAGACAAAGAAGAACTATACCCAGGAAAGAACTTTGGGAGTGGTGACTGGTCCATGGAGCTGACTGTAACCTTCTCAGTTTTTGAGGGAACTAATTGGCAAATAAATTGCAAGCCTCATCAGTAAAAAACTCTTTAAGCATTTATGCCTTAAAGCAGCACTTGGGCCCCCACGTCTGCACCAGCAGGACCAAGCTGTGAAATCTGCATTGCTCCTAAGAGGGCTTAATCCAATACTCACTTTGTATGTTGCAAGAGGGGATAATGGATGAAGAACCTCAAAGAAGGCAAAGCCATCAGTCATGAGGGACCATGGACATACCTCTTCCATACTTTTACCACTTCCTGCCCACTGGGATTAACCAGGTTGTTGCATGTAGCTACTGGTCATTCATTTTCATTGCTCAGTAGTATTCCATTGTAAGAGTATACCATAGTTATTTATCTATTCTTCACTGATGGATGTTTAGGTTGTTTCTAGCTTTTTTTTTTTTTTTTTGCCAAAATGTACATGAACATTCTTGTACATACTTCTAGTTGCACCTGTGCGCAGATTCCTCTGGGGTATATTCTTAGGAGTACAATTGATGAGCTGTTGAGTACTGTACTAGAAATGCCAAACTGAAAGGGGTCGTACCAGTTATACTTCTTCATGTGATATATTTGTGTTCCCTTTGTTTCATAGTCTTGTTTGCTATCTTCAGGTGTTTTAATGTGGCAACCTTGTAAATATCTACTAGTGTATATATGGGGTTTAATTTACATTTTCCAATTACTAATAAGGCTGAATATTTTTCATGTTGTTTATTGGCCATTTGTAGTTTCTCTTTTGTGCCTATTCAAAACCTTTGGAGAGAGCTCCTGGGTTATCTATCATTTTTATGTTAATCTGTAGGAATTCTTTTATGTAATAATTAATCTTTTACATAATGTTGCAAATATGTTCTCTCACCTTGTGGCTTGTCTTTTTACTCTCTATCTGGTGTTTTGATGAACAGAGTAGTTAAATTTAATATGGTTAAACTTACCTATCTTTTTATCCCTCAGTCTGTATCTCTTCCTATCTATGGTTCACGTTCAGGATCTCTGAAAGCTCATCTAATTGGTTGACCAGGCACAGTATAGGGAAATGTGGTGTGGTTGATACTCTCATACCAGACCATTTCCTAGGTCCTGGGCCACCTATGGATGTCTGCCTTGGGGTCAATGCGAATCTCTGGATCTAGTAGCTGGGGCCTAAGATGGAGAGTACCACTTAATTTTTATTTACTTATTTGTTTTTTTTTTTGAGACAGGGCTCACTCTGTTGCCCAGGATGGAGTGCAGTGGCCCTATCTTGGCTCACTGCAACCTCCCGCTCCTGGGTTCAAGAGATTCTCCTGCCTCAGCCTCCCAAGTTGCTGGGATTGCAGACACCCGCCACCATGCCTGGCTAATTTTTGTATTTTTAGTAGAGATGGGGTTTCACTATGTGGGCCAGGCTGATCATGAACTCCTGGCCTCCTGTGATCCACCCACCTCAGCCTCCAAAAATGCTGGGATTACAGGTATGAGCCACCATGCCTGGCCTAGAATACCATTAAAAGCAATAAATAGGCCAGGCGTGGTGGCTCATGCTTGTAATCTCAGTACTTTGGGAGGCCAAGGCAGGTGAAACACATGAGGCCAGGAGTTTGTGACCAGCCTGGCCCACAAGGCAAAACCCATCGCTAATAAAAATACAAAACTTACCTGGGTGTGGTGGTGGGGGCTTGTAATCCCAGCTACTTGGGAGGCTGAGGCAGGAGCATCACTTGAAACCAGGAGACGGAGGCTGCAATGAGCTGGGATTGCACCACTGCACTCCAGCCTGAGCAACAGAGTGCGACTCTGTCACAAAATAATAATAAAATTAAAATAAATAAATAAATAATGGGGCAGGAGGAAATCAGACAAAGAATAAGATAGCCAAGTCTAGAAATATTACTCTTGGATCAAGAAAACATGATCTACATATACAATGGAATATTATTCAGCCTTTAAAAAGAAGGAAATATTGTCATTTGCAACATCATGGATGAACCCAGAGGAAATTATGTTAAGTGAAATAAACCAGGCACAGAAAGATAAATGCCACATGATCTTACTTATACATGAAGTGTGGAAAAGTCAGACTCATGGAAACAGAGTTAAATGGTGGTTATCGGAGGCCAGTGGTAAGGGGATTGGGGATATGTTGGTCAAAGGACACAGATTTAGTTAGACAGAAGGAATAAGTCTAAGAGGTCTATTGTATACCATGGGACTACAATTAATAACAATGTATTATGTACTTGAAAATTGAAAAAAGAAAGAAAAATAAATATTATTTACTGATAATAAAGCTCTTAATCCACATCCAGAGATAAAGAAAATAATTAGCAGGAGACTTCTTAGAAGTTATATAATTTCAGAGTATGGGAGTTTGAAAAAAAAACTATTTGGTAATTGAATACCTAATAACAATAACCCAACTAAAATGTGATTTTTTACACAGTTTATTGATTAAATTAGGGTGATTCCAAAGTTAGCACCAGGAAGTTATAAGTTTAAAACTTCATGAGAGTCTGTTGAAATGATAACTACAATTGCAATCTAACAGGTGGCAGTCCAAAGTCTAGAGGGAGGACAGCCAGTGAGTTAAGATTTGCCAGTGTCCATTGAGGGATTTCCAAGAGAGCTGGATTGGATAGACAACATTCCTGTCACTTCAGGAAGCTCCGTTTCAGTTCTTGAAAATGAGAACATCCTCCTACCAGAAGCCTCAAGCTCAAATGAGGAAAGGAGCTGCTGGGAACTTGCATGCGGCAGACTGCTAACAGGAAAACTCTGCAGGAAAGATCCAGAGAACCAGCAAACAGCTATACCAGAATCACTGGCTCATGCAAACCTATAAGCATTTATCAAATGCCTGCCATGTGGCAGATACTGTGGTGGATACAAAGTTGAAGATAAGTTCCCTGTATCCACTAGAACTCTTCATGTTGCAAGCTAGAAAGAACTTGGCTCCAACTTAATAGCAATTGTTTTGGCTCATGTAAAAGGAAGTTCAGAGGTAGGACAGGCTTCAGGGTTAGATTCATTCAGTAGCTTTTGGGTCATCTCCCATGTACTGGTCTCTTCTTCAGACTGGCTTCCCTCATTGTGCCAGATTGGCTCTTTTTGACATCAGGATTTACAAAAGAGAGGAAAAGTTCTAATGGAAGTTAGAACTTTCCCAGAAACACCTTTCCCAGAAACACCTTTCCCAGAAACACCTTTCCCAGAAACACCTAGTGAAGATTGCCTTGTTCTTCATTGGTTCACATTGGATCACATGATCTTTCCAAAATTAATTCCTGTATCCAGAGAAATGCCATGCATTGTATGGTTCAGAAACCCAGGCATACACCAGTTGGCTTGGCAAACAGCATGGGAATGATTACCTCTAGATAATAAAAACTCATCTCTGGAGCTAGGGGTTGGAATCATCTTCCTCCAAAGCCAATAGGCCAGAGAGTGAATACTGAGTGAAATTTGGGATACTATCAGAGAGTGGCAGAAAGCATACTATGTCATCTTCCAATAAATACCCATTACAGTTTCAATTTGCAAGAAGTTTACAGTTTAGAGGGGAAGACAGGGCTGTAATTTACTCATAATGAAGAAGTGATATGAGAGCTACAAAGTGCTTTTAGAAACTAGAGAAGAAGGCTGTTTATAGCACCTGAGGGATCAAGGAGCTGGGCTGTAATAGATGCATTTTTGAAAGATACAAAAATAGAAATACATTTGTTGCAGGATCCTTGGGGTGTTGCTTTTCTGGCCAGAAACCTCTGTGGCTGTTTGTGCTTTTGTTTGAGTTTTGCTCAGGCCTGCTGGGCTCATTCCATCCACTCGGCCTGGCAGGTTGCACTCGGCTCATACTACTGGTCTGGATCCCACACCTGCCAAGGGCGAGCCAGGTGTGCAGTAGCGAGGGGTGTGTGAGCAAGTGAGTGTGGGGTCTGGCCATGGTGCACAGTGAGGCACACTGGCTGCTGCAGTGGTGCAGGCAGCTCCAGGTGCCAGCATGGGCACTGGCTCTCTGCAAGGCTGCAGCTGGACCAGGTGCACTGCAAACAGCTTCTCACAGCTGCCACTGGGGAACACAGTGGTGCCTGGAAGCTTGGAGACTCCAGGAATCACAGGGCCCCAAAGAGGGAGTGCCAGCCTTGGCTCAAGGAGCTCCAAAGTCTCGGCTCCCCAAAGGACCACAGCTATTCTCACCTTCTCTTCAACTGTAACATGGTGAGAAAGGGGTGTGTTTCAGTCCTGTTTATGTTATAGCTCTTTGAGCCCTGCCATTTGGCAGTTCCTGAGTTCTTGTCCTGCTCCAGGAAGAATGAGATATGTGGACAAGTGGAGGGTGAGTACGGAGAAGACAAGCTTTATTGAGTGACAGCTCAGAGGAGACCCTGGAGTGGGTAGCTCCTCTCTGCAGCTGGTCATCCTGATGTCTGCTGCTCTCAGTAGAAAGGCGGCCCTGGAGTGAGTAGGGTAGCTCCTCTCTGCAGCTGGTTGTCCCAACATCTGCAGCTCTCAGTAGAGAGGAGGCCCTGGTATGGGTAGCTCCACTCTGCAGCTGGTCATCCTGACATCTGCTGCTCTCAGCAGAGAGGAGGCCCTGGAGTGTGTAGCTCCTCTCTGCAGCTGATCATCCTGATATCTGCTCAGCTCTGGCTGAGCTGGGAGATTTCATGGGCCTCAGAGGTGAGGAAGTGAGCATCAGTTGGTCCATGGGTGGCCATGGGTGGGCTCAGAAAAAGCACCACAAGTTCCCATTCTGATTTGTGGGGACTGGCAGCCTGGCCCCCAGCTTTCAAGCCCTCCCTGGCCTGAAGGTGGGGCCTCACCAGGCCTCCACCCTCTTCCACCCAGGAGCCTATTTGCCTCCCACTGCCAATGACGCCCAGGCTGTTCACACCCAGGAGCACCTGCAGGCCAATGCTGAGCTGCCCTCAGCCCCACCTAGGCTTCCCTCCCATGCTTGTTGGTGGCCAAAGTCTGGAGGGGGCCAAGCTGGCAGGGGGCTGTCATGTCAGCACTGCCCCAAGCGTGTGCACATCCAGCTAGGTGCGACAGCACCTGGGCTCAGCCCCAACCTTGCTCCAAGATCAGATCAGGTGCCAGGAGTGGGAGAGACCAGGCAGCAGGAGCACACACCTCTGAGCCTATGGGGGGAGGGGGCCTTCCCAGGCCCCCAAGAGTGCAGAGATACCCAGCTCTGCAGCCCCAGCTTGGGTGGCTGTAGCTGCACCCAGGGGAAAGGGTTCCTGTATGCTCTGTGGAATGAAATACATGGGTCCACAGCTATGATTTTCGGTGACTGTAGCTGCACCCGGAGGGCAGAGCTCCTCCCTGCTCCCAGCACTCCCAAGAGCACAGGTAGGCCCAGGTCTGCAGCCACGACTTGGGTGGCTGAGGCTGTGCTTGGGAGGGTGGGGCTCCTGCCTGCTCCCAGCACACCTGAGAACACACGGAGGGGAAGTAAGGAATGAGTTAAATGTGTAGTAATATGGAAACATCCAAGTGAAAATATCTGAAGAAAATTTGGGAGCAGACAGACCTTGAGAGGCAGAGTTGGAAGCCATTAGCATAAGAGAAATGAACTGCCATATACTAAATACTACATAGATGTCAGATTTGTTCTAAGCATTTTATTTGTATTATTTCTTTTAACTTTCATAATGCAGTACAGAGAATTCTGTCTTAATTTTACTAAAAAGGAATCTGGCACTCGAAAAGGTAACTTACCAAGGCCATTCAGCTGGTCAATGGATGAGCAGGATTCAAACCCAGTTATTCCAGAATCTGGGAGCTGAAGCTATGAATATGGCCAAGGTTGCTCAGGAATAGAAGAAAGAAGACATTTTCCAGTCTTAGTCTCCAAAATGCAGCAATCCTCAATTCACGCAAATGCTTTGACTTTTTATTAATATATTTGTTCAACATTCTTTTGTTGTCCATAGCTCTTTTATCCCCATAATGCCTGGGATCTTTTTGGCTACAAGTAACTGGAAACACTGACTCAGCAAGCCAAAGCAATAAGGAAAAAGTATCACCTCATATAACAAGAAGTCCCAGCTGGGCTTATAGTGGCTCAGGCCTATAATCCCAGCACTTTTGAATGCTGAGGCAGGTGGATCACTTGAGGCCAGGAGTTCATGACCAGTCTGGCCGACATGGTGAAACCCTGTTTCTACTAAAAATACAAAAATTAGCCAGGTGTGGTAGCAGGTGCCTGTGATCCCAGCTACTCAGGAGGCTGAGGTAGGAGAATTGTTTGAACCCAGGAGGCAGAGGTTGCAGTGAGCCAAGATCGGGCCACTGCACTCCAGCCTGGTGACAGAGTGAGACTCCATCTCAAAACAAAAACAAAAACAGACAAACAAACAAGTCCCAATGTGGTCAGTTCCAGGGTTGATTAATTCAGTGAGTCAGCAACTCAGCATCATTAAGAACCCTGATTATTTCCCATTTTGCATCTTCAGCATGTCAGGCCCTTAAGCAAACTCTCTTGATAGACAAAAGATAGCAACCAGAGTTCAAGTCAACACATCAAGACCTGACAACATCTGTGGGGAAAAGGTAGGTCACCTCTTCAAGTTTGACCTTTTTTTTTTTTTTTGAGATGCTCTTGGCTCACTGCAGCCTCGACCTCCTTGGCTCAAGGGATCCTCCCACCTCAGCCTTCCAAGTAGCTGGGACTATAGGCAGGTGCCACCAAGCCCAGCTCATTTATTTATTTTTTTGTAATTGTTTATAGAGACAGGGTTTCGCCATGTTGCCCAGGCTGGTCTAGATCTCTGAGCTCAAGCGATTCCCCCACCTCAGCCTTCCAAAGTGCTGGGATTTCAGTTATGAGCCACTGAGCTCGCCCCCACCAGCCCCACCTTTTTTCATTAACACAACAACAACAACAACAACAACAACAAAACGATGGCTAATCTGCCTTCACATCCTGTTGCCCAGAATTGTGTTATACACCTATTCTTAATCAATCATTAGCAAAGAGAATAGGATATTGCTTAATTGATTTAGCAAAGTGCATGACCACGTGGAAGACAATGGGTTCAAGACAACAATAAATTAGGGGCTGGGCATGGTGGCTCACGCCTGTAATCCCAGCACCTTGGGAGGCTGAAGCAGGTGGATCACCTGAGATCAGGAGTTCGAGACCAGCCTGGCCAACGTGGTGAAACCCCATCTCTACTAAAAATACAAAATTAGCTGGGTGTGGTGGTGGGCACCTGTAATTCCAGTTACTCAGGAAACTGAGGCAGGATAATTGCTTGAACTCAGGAGGCAGAGGCTGCAGTGAGCTGAGATCAAGCCACTGCACTCCAGCCTAGGCAAGAGTGAGATTCTGTCTCAAAAAAAAAAAAAAAAAAAAAAATTAGTGCTCTCTTAGAAAGGAGAGAAACCAGAGGACTGGGAGTGGGCCAGAAGTAGTGAGGAGGTGGGAGATGAGAGGCTTGAGGAGGCAATCAACATGTCTACTAAATTTCCATCCACATCATATATTCTCAATGGCAGTGATATTCCCCCAGGCAGGCAAATAAATGGTTCAATGAAGATTTTACTCTTTTTATGTGTAAAACAGAAACATACATAGAGTACATTAACAGATATACCATATGTCTATAATATTAACATTTCATAAGAAAGATGATTAGGAAAAAATGCCTAAAGCGGCTTCCTAGAGAGGGGTGATCATGAAGAAAAGGTTAAGAAACACTGGTCAACATCAATATGTCTTTATCCAGAAATGGAAATTCCTAGAGAAAATGAGCTGTGCTGAACAGAGTACTATGTGGTACTCAAGACAGCACTTTAAGGATATCTGCAAAGGGGAGTAGCTGTGAGGCAGCTGCTGGTGGCAGTGGTGATGATTATAACAACACCGGCACTCTCTGACCACTTTGTGTATTCTGTCTCCATCTGGTTCAGATCTATACATATAATACATATAATAGCAGCCAACATTACATGATTTATTTATACCTTTCACTCTTGCCTTTCACTTGGCAAGTATTAACTTGTTAAATCTTCACAACAACCAGTTGAAGAGAGTGTAATTATTATCTACAGTTGACAGATGAGGAAACTGAGGCATGGAAGGGTTAAATGACTCTCATCAGAAAGTGGTTGAGGGCCGGGCACAGTGGCTCATGCCTGTAATCCCAGCACTTTGGGAGGCCGAGGCGGGCGGATCACGACGTCAGGAGATTGAGACCATCCTGGCTAACACGGTGAAACCCTGTCTCTACTAAAAATACAAAAAATTAGCCAGGTGTGGTGGCAGGCGCCTGTAGTCCCAGCTACTCAGGAGGCTGAGGCAGGAGAATGGCGTGAACCCGGGAGGTGGAGCTTGCAGTGAGCCGAGACTGCGCCACTGCACTCCAGCCTGGGTGACAGAGCGAGACTCTGTCTCAAAAAAAAAAAAAAAAAAAAAAAAAAGAAAGTGGTTGAATGGGGATTTGAAAAAAAATTTCGTATTGAAATTTCAAATTAGGATGGCATTCCTCGCTTTCTACAGTAGTGCAAGACTGTGAAAACGGCCATGCAAACAATCTGTAATAATCAATGTCGAAAATTACAATTGTTTCGTGACCTTTAAAAATGTTTGTCAAAGCATTAAAAATGCTCTTACTTGCAGTTGTAAATGTATAGGGAAATGAAAAAATTATTTTAAAAACCCAATATTTATTTAGTACATTATAATTTAAAACATTAGAAACATTGAAAATAGGTGTTTTATTTCTTTGTAAAAAATGTATCTGGATAATTTGAACAGTGCTTGCCTTCTCATTGTTTAATGTATGATATGGAGTGGGCATCTTTTTTATGTCTTAGCTTATTGTCACACTCCTGAATTTGGATCAGCTTCCAGCATTTTATCTTTTGCATTTTCAATGATGTAAAACATCTCCAAGTGTGCCCATTTATGCCTAGTGTTCCATTATTGGAATGCTAAGCATGTGGGAGTTATCTTATACATCCTACTGCTCAAGGTCATCGCCAAGGTCTGATTTTCAAAATTCAAAAAATTCAAAAAATTGCATCCTCAGGCATAAATGGGTTAATGTGAAGGTTTTTTTCCACCAGTCTCACTTCCTCTGGGACATCTTCATCCTCTTTACTTTCCCCATTTATGTTGATGTCACTAGCTCCCCTAGCTACATACACAGAGTCTTGAACAGTGGTGGTGTCGACATTCCCATGGTTCAGAATTTTCTCCTATAATTCTATTTGTGTTTGTCTCGAATTTCACTGCTATTGTTATCACTTTTCATTTGTTTGGTACATTTTCTTTCTTTCTTTCTGGCCAGTTTCCTCTTTTAACTATCCATTTTTTTGGGAAAATGTCATGGGTTTATCACTAGGAGACAAGGAGGCAACATGAAACGTGCTCCCGTCTGTGTGTGAACTGAACCACAGATGGGCAGTGACCAACCATCAACCGACAGACTTTGAAGGAAGTGATGTGACTGACCACTGATCACGATGTGCGTCTGTTATTTACACAGTGATTTGGGGACTGAAGCGCCAGCAGCCAAGTTTGTACTTTATGCAATTACTCACATTAATATACCGTGGAAACTGAAATCTGAACTGTGTTGTGGGGTGACTGATGTTATTTAACTAAACCATGGAAACTGAAATCCATGCAGATTGGAGCCATGCAAATTGAGAACTGCCTGTATGGTTGTCCCTCGGTATCCTCGGGGGATTGGTTCCAGGACCCCAGCAGAGACCAAAATCCACAGATGATCAAATCCCTGATATAAAATGGCTAGTATTTGCATATGACATATGCACATCCTCTTTAAATCATCTCTAGATTACTTGTGATACCTGATACAATGTAAATGCTATGTAAATAGTTGTTATACTGCATTGTCTAGGGAATAATGACAAGGAAAAATGTCTGCAAGCCATGGGCCTGTAGTCCCAGTTATGTGGGAAACTGAGATGGGAGGATTATTTAAGCCCAGAAGTTTGAGTCCAGCCTGGCCAGCACAGAGAGACCCCCATCTCTAAAAACAATAAATAAGATAAAATAAAATAAAATAAGTCTGTACATGTTCAGCAGAGATGCAATTTTTTCCAATATTTTTGATCCTCAGTTGAATCCATGGATGCAGAATCCAAGGATGTGGAACCCACAGATCTGAAGAGCCCACTGTATATACAAAGCAGGCAGATTTGTGCAGATTTGTACCAATTTGTACAGATTTTAGACATACAAATCCTAATGTATCCAGCATCTAACTTCAACCATTATCAACTCATGGCCAATCTTGTTTCTGCAACACCCCCATTCATTTTGAAGCAAATCCCTGACATCTCATCATTTCATTCTTAAATAGCTCTCTATGCAATTAAGACTGGGGATTTTGATCGAACTCTATCGAATTCCAGGGCATGAACTTGTAAAAATACACTCGCCAGCTTCCTGGGGAGGGCAGTAGACCCAGGGAAATGGAATGGCATACTAACAGGTATTTGCTGGTTTTATCCTTACTGCAACCCCATGAGGTCTTATTGTCCTCATTTTTTCAGATGAGAAAACTGAGGCATGGAGGGGCTAAGTGACTTGTCCAAGGTCACACAGTATGTGAGTAGTTGAGTCAGGCATTACATTCAGATCTGATTCCACATCTCATTCTCTTCCTATACATCACAACTGCACAGAAGGGGGTCCTTAACCATCGCTGACTTTCTCCTGTGTGCAACCTCCTGTACCAGTTAGCCCCCAGCTATGGCCAAGAACTTAGGAACCATATATTCCTTCCTTCTTTGCACCCCTGGTCTTCTTGGAATATACTCTGAATGGGAAAACAAACAAACAAACAAAACAAGGACTCAGCACAAATCTTTGCTGAGGTGTTGACTTCTCCCAGTCCTGAGGGAGATGGTTCCTCCTGGCACTGAATCCATTGTCAGGGCCACACTTGTGCCATGCTGAGGAGGGCTCAGAAGAATCCTAGTCTATCAACAACCGTCTTCCCCAACAGTGTCCTCTGCCACCGACTCACAGAAAAGCCTAATGGAACAGGTTACTGGGCTGAGACCTACAATGCCCCCAGCTGTGCCTTATCTGGGCCTGGGCTCAATGACTCTTTGTTTAGTGTTCAAACACCTTAGCCCTGGACTGTGGCCTTTCAGGGATGAAGGTCTGGCAGGGGAAGGGACTTGCCTGGAGGGATCTGATACTGTGAAAACAGCAGAGAAGAGGAAGAGGGAAGGGGAGGGATGATAAGAAGGAGGAACAGAGGAGAGGGAGAAGAGGAGTGAGAGAAGAAGGAACCGGGAGGAGGAAGAGAAAGAAAAGAAATCCTGCTTGTCATTCTGTTGGCACCTCTCTGAACACTGCCACTGATTCTAATGGGACTTGTGTCCCAGCCCATAATCCCTCAAGTGCTAAGAGAATAGGCCTCATAGTGGCTTCTCAGGCTCTTTTTTTTTTTCTTTTCAACTACAGCTTTCTGATTTCCCTGGAAAACTTCTTTCTATTCCAGAACTAAGGCACATTTTTCTCTTGCTCCTAGAGGCTGTGCAGAGGGACAGGGTCTTTTTGGTCCCCTCTGGCTGGAGTTTCCCAACAGTCTCAGAAATGACTCTGGGTGTGGCTGGAAGATATTTAAGGAAGGAGGTAGGAGGCACTAAGAACAGAGGGACTGGGGGTTGGCGAAAGAAGGAAGAAACAAGTGGCCCAGTTTATGTCTATTTAGATCCCAGGCATTATAGCCTTACATATGGCATCCCATCAATTGAAATAGATGGTGACTTTTATCTGCCCAAATCTACTCCTGCTCCCAAATCCTTATTTTTTGGTAACAACATTTACGAATACCCTGTCCTCTGGGAAATTTCCTCTCCCCATTCTCAATGATTCTGATGGGACTGCTAATCACAAAACCCTTCTTGCCTCAGCCCAGATCTGGCCAATCAGAGCCTTCCTTGGGCTTATATATATGGATATTGGGAAAGAGAAGCCCTCCTTCCCTTGCCTTCCTTGGGCTTATATATATGGATATTGGGAAAGAGAAGCCCTCCTTCCCTTTGGGGTTGCTAAGGAGAAATTAAATAAAACTAAAGTGGCATGCACCTGTAGTCCCAGCTACTCCAAAGGCTGAGGCAGGAGGACTGCTTGAGCTTAGGAGTTCGAGGCAGCAGTGAGCTGTGATTGCGCCACTGCACTCCAGTCTGGGCAACAGATTGAGACCTTATCTCTATTTTTCAAAACACTGAAATTAGGCTGTGTGCAGTGGCTCATTCCTATAACCCCAGCACTTCGGGAGGCCGAGATGGGAGTAATGCTTGAGGTCAGGAGTTTGAGATCAGCCTGGTCAACATAGCGAGACCCCATCTCAAAATTTAAAAAATAAAAACATAAACTGAAACTATTTGCAACCATTGCCACCCTTTGTATGGAGGAAGCTCATTTGTAGTAGGAGAAAATAAGGGCAACACACAGAAAGAAGTGTGTGTGTGTGAAGAGAGAAAGATAAATTGAGATACATGTTTCTATCTATTTATGTATCTATCTATCTAACCATCCATCCAACCCTGACAACTGTATTTTAGTCTCTAAATTATGTTGTAATGTAAACTAGCAATACCTCTGTGAATAAATCTGTGTGTGTGTGTGTGTGTGTGTGTAAGCTGGTTTGAGTTGGGTTTTTAATACTTAGAACACAGACAGTCCTAATAGATTCCTTCCATCCTCACAGCAATCCTATGAAGTAGTCAAAGCTCAGAGAAGTACATTGTCCAAAAGTCATGTGGACAGCACTGGAGAGTAGGGATTCATACCTGGTCTTTCCGATCCCCCAGCTCCAAAGCTGGTACTTCCCAGCTCCCAAAAATGGGTTAAACCTGGTCCTGCCCCAAAGTAACAATGCCCGCAAGGAGGGTTAGACCTTTATACAACTATAAAGCAAGACAGAACATAATGCTATAATATAATAAAGATACAAATATAATTCACTGGGATACACAGGGGAGAAAGTATTTGAGACCAAATTGTGGCTAAGGCATCCCAGGTCCAGTTTGGGGTAGGGGGAGATTACTGCATACTTGGATGCCCAAAGAAACCCCAAAATGACCAAAGTTGTTTCAGGCTTTTGTGGGCACTGACCATTTACGGATGTGTGACCAGCAACCTGTACAACCCTGAACAGAAACTTATTGCTGCGAGCTGTTGCCACTGTTTACAGAGCATGGTGTTGTTGGTGCAGTTGCCTTGAAACCTTTGTTCCGAGGAGTCCCACTTCCCTCCCTCATTCCCCATCTCAGCTCTGCTGCCTGACCAATTGGCTTCCATTACTTGTGCTGTAATCACCGTGAGCCTGTGGCTGGTAGGGGCTGGCAAAAGGTTCAGTATGGATATTTATTTCCCATGCATCTACCAAGGGAAATGAATTTGCACGTGCCATTTGCAAGCTATTTGCAAAGTGTGCAGTACATTCTGTTGTTTCCTAGAGTCTAAAAAAGTGGTTTTCAATCTCTTCTTTTTCCTATTCTAGGCTACTTTAAGCTGGGCAGAATAACCCACAGTCAATTTGCTCCACCCTTTCTCACATACAAGTGGAAAAATAATGCAAGCATACTATTGAGGCGTCAATGTAAAGTATCTTGGTGGGGGGGATTAGTTGTACATGTGCTTTCATGATCAAGGCATACATGATTCATATTCAAATTGCAATGCATAATTGTCTTTAGGTATAATTACCAGAAAATTAAAGGCCAAAAATACAATTAAAACAAAGATATATCACTGGTCACCTTAAGCTTCAAACAAATCCCAACTGACTTGATAATGATGAAGCTAAATTAACAGTAAATTACAATTAGAAGCAAGAATGGCAGCAGTTGGAGACCTTGACCCACACACGACAAACAACACTGATGGCAGACTGATGATAAAGCATCTGTCCACACAATGCCAGGGATGGGCAAGGCTCCAACAGTGTCGGGCCACGCTTTCTCCAGAGGCCAAACTTCTCAGGGGAATACAAAATCAGAAGCCTCAATAAAATTTGGTAGCACACTGACTTTTATTTATAAATTCCAAACTGGGTTAACCTGTAATCATTCACTTAGCAAGCTTTTAGTAAGTAGGTCTTAGATGTACATAAAAATGAGTGTGGATGAATTTGTAAATAGCTCTTCCTAAAGATAATTATTTACAGTAGTTCATCCTAAAGGGAAGACTTGCTTTCTTGGGTCAGTTTGCAGCCCGTCAGGTGGGTCTTGGGTAGCATTTAAGAATCACTGGTTGGGGCCAGGTGTGGTGGCTCATGCCTGTAATTCCAGCACTTTGGGAGGTAGAGGCGGGGGGATCACCTGAGCCCAGGAATTCAAGACCAGCCTGCGTAACATGGCAAAACCCTGTCTCTACAAAAAATATGAAAAAATTAGCTGGGTGTGGTGGTTTGCACACCAGCTACTTGGGATGCTAAGGCAGGAGGATCTCTTGAGCCTAGGAGGTCGAGGCTGCAGTAATCCATTATCGCACCATTGCACTCCAGCCTGGACAACACAGTAAGACCCTGTCCCCTCCACCCCCCACCAAAAAAAAAAAAAAAAAAAAAGACTGGTTAAAAGGCATTGGAATGCAACTGAATTGTTTGTTATATGCAGGGGTCTTAGACTAAGAGACATGAGAAGTGAGAACCAGAGACATTTGTTTCAACTCTCTTGCTTTCTACTATAAGAGTTATGTCAGGACCTCAGGCAAAAGCTAAACATTCCAACCTGACACCACCAGTTAGGTTAGTACACAGGCTACTGTGAGTTGGAAGATTTCACCCTTGCTAATTTAAAAGAAGCAACTTCCTCAAAGCAACAAAGGTGAATGTCAGCAATTCACAGAAGCGTTATATTTTACCTTTGGCTTAAAAATTAGACAAAAGACTAGGAAACAGTCTGCCAGAAAACCTAACAGCACCCATCTCCAAAGGGTGCAATACCCAGGTAACTCTACCTTAGAAAATAACACTTCACAATTGTGTAACACTTTAACCTCTCCAAACACATTTGCATGTGTTACTGCAATCTCCAGAAAAAAGAGTGAGTTTCTGAGGTGTCCTGACTCCCTGACCTCTTTTTTCTTACCTCAACTCTCTCCTTTGGTCCACATGCCTCTGGATTTGTTCCTTTCTCTCTTGTTCTTTCCGTTCAGTTTCTCAGTTCCTGCTTCAGTAGCTTGCTCAGGCCTTGCTTATCCTTAAAATGCTACAGGACTTTTCAGGGTTACTCTGAGTTCAAAAGGAGTCAACATATAACTCAACCTAGATTTGTTGAGTCCTTTTTCAAGAATAAAACTATTTGGCTTTTGGTTGGGCATGGTAGTTCACACCTGTAATCCTAGCACTTTGGGAGGCCAAGGTAGGAGGATGGTTTGAGGCCAGGAATTAGAGACTGATTTGAGAAACACGGCAAAATCCCATCTCTACAAAAAAATACAAAAATTAGCCAGGCAGGGTGGCTCATGCCTATAGTCCTAGCTACTCTGGAGGCGAACATGGGAGGATCACTTGAGTCCAGGAGTTCCAGAGTAAGCTATGATTGTGCCATTGCACTCCAGCCTGGGTGACTGAATGTGGCCCTATCTCTAAAAGTTAAAATTTTAAAAAAAGATATGGCATTCTGAATGAGTATGGTAGGGCCCTTTATGTGAAGCCCCTTCATTCCTGGATAAATAATTGAAGGTAAGAAGGTTTGGGAATCATCAGCCCCCTTATGTGTAGCATAGGCTATCGCAGGCCTCTAGCCTCACTGAGTCAGCCAGCACGAGCTGTGAAACCTAAGTTCAAAGTCACTGGAGTAGTATTATGGGTTGAATGTTTCCCCCTCCCCTTAAGTTCATATGGTGAAGTCCTCCTAACTTCCTGTACCTCAGACTGTGACCTTATTTGACTAGACTCTTCATAGAGGTAACCAAGTTAAAATGAGGTCATTGGGGTGGGCCCTAATTCAGTTGTGTCCGGAATTGGTGGCTTCTTGGTCTCACTGAATTCAAGAACGAAGCCGCGGACCCTCGCAGTGCGTATTACAGTTCTTAAAGGCCGCGTGTCCGGAGTTTGTTCCTTCTGATGTTCGGATGTGTTCGGAGTTTCCTCCTTCTGGTGGGTTCGTGGTCTTGCTAGCTCAGGAGTGAAGCTGCAGACTTTCAGTGAGTGTTACAGCTCTTAAGGTGGCGCGTCTGGAGTTGTTCGTTCCTCCCAGTAGGTTCGTGGTCTCACTGGCTTCAGAAGTGAAGCAGCAGACCTTCATGGTGAGTGTTGCAGCTCACAAAGACTGAGTGGACCCAAACAGTGAACAGCAGCAAGATTTACCGCAAAGAGTGAAAGAAGGAACCTTCCACACTTTGGAAGCACACCCTACCAGGTTGCCACTGCTACCTCAGGAAGCCTGCTTTTATTCTCTTATCTGGCCCCACCCGCATCCTGCTGATTGGTCCATTTTACAGAGAGCCGATTGGTCTGTTTTACAGAGAGCTGATTGGTCCATTTTCACAGGGTGCTGATTGGTGCATTTACGATCCCTGAGCTAGACACAAAAGTTCTCCACGTCCCCACTAGATTAGCTAGATACAGAGTGTAGACTGGTGTATGTACAAACCCTGAGCTAGACACAGAGTGCTGATTGGTGCATTTATAAACCTTGAGCTAGATACAGAGTGCCAATTGGTGCATTCACAATCCCTTATTTAGACATAAAGAGTCTCCAAGGCCCCGCCAGATTAACTAGATACAGAATGCCGATTGGTGCATTTACAATCCCTTAGCTAGACATAAAGATTCTCCAAGTCCCCACCAGACTCAGGAGCCCAGCTGGCTTCACCCAGTGGATCTTGCACCAGAGCCGCAGGTGGAGCTGCCTGCCAGTCCCCCGCCGTGCGCCCGCACTCCTCAGCCCTTGGGCGGTCATGGGACTGGGCGCCCTGGAGCAGGGGGCGGTGCTCGTCGGGGAGGCTCCGGCCGCGCAGCAGCCCACGGCGGGGGGCGTGGGGGAAGGCTCAGGCATGGCGGGCTGCAGGTCCCGAGCCCTGCCGCTCCCAGTGCGGGGCCCGCCGAGCCCACGCCCACCTGGAACTCGCGCTCGCCCGCAAGCGCCGCGCGCAGCCCCGGTTCCCGCCCGCGCCTCTCCCTCCGCCCCTCCCGGCAAACTGAGGGAGCCGGCTCCGGCCTTGGCCAGCTGAGAAAGGGGCTCCCACAGTGCAGCGGCGGGCTGAAGGGCTCCTCAAGCGCGGCCAGAGTGGGCGCCAAAGCCAAGGAGGCGCCGAGAGCGAGCAAGAGCTGCAGAGGGCTGCCAGCACGCTGTCACCTCTCAGAGTGAGATACTGGTATGGCTTGTATCTTATGAGAAGGGAAAATGTGGACACAGAAAGATAGTGGAAGATAATGTAAAGACACAGGAGAAGACAGCCAGCTACAAGCCAAGGTGAGAGGCCTGGAACAGATCTTTCCTTGACGGCCCTCAGAAGGAACCCCATCCATTTTTTTTTTTCGGAGATGGAGTTTCGCTCATTGCCCAGGCTGGAGTGCAGTGGCTGATCTTGGCTCACTGCAACCTCCTCCTCCGGGGTTCGAGTGATTGTCCTGCCTCAGCCTGCCAAGTAGCTGGGATTACAGGCGCCTGCCATCATGCCCAGCTAATTTTTATATTTTTAGTAAAGAGAGGGTTTCACCATGTTGGCCAGGCTGGTCTCGAACTCCTGACCTCATGGGATCCACCTGCCTCGGCCTCCCAAAGTGCTGGGATTACAAGCGTGAGCCACCATGCCTGGCCCCTGGGGCCCACATTTTGATCTTGGACTTCTGGCCTCTATAACTGTGAGAAAACAGAATTCTGCTGATTAAGCCATCCAGTTTGTGGTACTTTGCTATAGCAGCCCTAGCAGGCTCATTTAGACAGCAGCTAGCCCAGAAGACTAATTTTTCTCACCTCCTCATAAGATGGTTTTAATAATAAAATGAGCTAATAGAACTAAAGCCCTTTGCAAATAGTTAAAGCTACAATTAAGATGAAAGGGTTTCATATCACTATGATAACAGTCCCTGGCTGCCATATTTAAAACTACTGGATTTTTAAAATTACCCGTCTTCTATGCATACAACTGAATCCTTTTCCTGGATATATTTTTCTCTGTAGAACACATATCACCTTCTAACATACTATGTTTTACTTATTTATTTTGCTTATTCTCTGTCTCTTCCCACGAGTAGCAAAGCTCCATGAAGGCAGGGACTTTCTGTTTTGTTCACTGCTAGTCTCCAGCCTGGCGCATGGCAGGTCCTCAGCATGCACTTATCATTCATGCATGTTGGATGAATGATAAATACACATTTACTCCTTATCTTCATCAGGCTATTGTCTACTGATCCTTTAAGGCCTAACTCAGGCCTACTCTTTCTTAGGAAGCCTCCCCACGCCACTTTCCTCTTTCCTAGTTTGGAGCTTCCCCTCCATTCTCTTACATGGATCTTTCCAACAATGCAGGGACCACATTGTGTTTGTTTCCATGACTCCCTCGCTGTGGGCTTTGGAGGTGAGGAACACCCAGGTCTATATACCCTGTAGTCAAAGGAGGCGGCTCTGTGCCTGGCCCTTGGTAGGCACTCTGTGCTTCTCTGTTGAGTGAGGCAGTAGCTAGGGAACAAGGGAAGGGCATGGGCAGAGGGTGGATCAGAGGTGGCCCACAAGGGGGTACTGACCTCGTAGCCTAGGCTGTGCCCTTGAGCTACAATAGTCAACAACACTAAACACTGAAAAGGAAGCCCACCACCACAGGTTGCTGGAACCACAGAGGAAACCAAAGTGGAGAAGAGTGAGGCCAGCTGGGAGGATGACCTCACGGTTTGGAATAGAGGAAGTAAAATAAAAATTGATAAATCAGAGCAGAGATATGGAAAGCCACTTTAAAGAGAAAACAAATGAAAGTTTCCTGGAAATGCAAAACAGGAGTTTCACCTGATTAATATGTTCACATAACTGAATATAGAATGAGTCATCTGGGGCTGAGATGGGGCATGGGGTTTGTCAATTAAGAAATTTTGGTTAGAGGTCAGGCGCGGTTGCTCACACTTGTAATCCGCACTGTGGGAGGCTGAGATTGGCAGGTCACTTGAGGCCGGGAATTCAAGACCAGCCTGGCCAACATGTCGAAACCCCGTCTCTACTAAAAATACAAAAATTAGCTGGGCATGGTGGTGGGCCCCTGTAATTCATTACTCAGGTGGCTGAGGTACAAGAATCACTTGAATCCGGGAGGTGGAGGTTGCAGTGAGCTGAGATTGCACCACTGCACTCCAGCCTGGGTGACAGAGCAAGACTCTGTCTTAAAAAAAAAAATTTTTTTTTTGTTAGAAAAGGGAGAACTGGCCAGGTGTCATGCTCATGTTGTAATCACAGCAATTTGGGAAGCCAAAGTGAGAGGATTGCTTGAGCCCAGGAGTTCGAGATCAACCTGGGCAAGATGGTGAGACCCCCCACCTCGATTAAAAAAGAGAGAGAGAGAAAAGGGAGAACTAAGAGGTCTTTGTCAGCTGAGCTGTTGGCTAGAGAGTGCCCGGACTGGGGATGAAGATAGCAGATCTTCCTGGGAAGTCTTTGATGGGAATTAAATCTCAGAGGTGGGGGCAGGGCCGGTCTAGTAAAGGGAGGCCAGAATGATTAGCAAGTAGTTGGAGGTGGGGCTCAAATATAATAGTATAATTAATGGTAAGAATTCTCTGCCCCATGTGGAACATGGTGGTGGTGTTTGCATTTACAAAGGTAAAAAGTATGGGCCAGGGCAATGGCTCATGCCTGTAACCCCAGCACTTTGGGAGACCGAGGCAGGAGGATCTCTTGAACCCAGGAGTTCAAGACTAGCCTGGACAATGTAGCAAGACACTATCTCTACAAAAAACCGCACACCTGTAGTCCCAGCGACTTAGGAAGACAGAGGCAGGAGGGTCACTTGAACATAGGAGTTTGGGGATCCAGTGAACTAGGATCACACCACTGCACTCCAGCCTGGGCAACAGAGTGAGACCCTATCTCTGAAACAAAAATAAAAAAGAAATAAAAAGTACAGGTAAGACCATCTGTAAAGGTCATTGTGCTCTGAGGGAAGATTTGAGAAGCTCAGCTCATGCTTCTTGTCCACAAAGAATGAGGAAAATTATCACTGGCTTGCCAGGCTGAACTGCCTTTGGTATTTCACAGTCTTGAGGGGGAAACTGTCATCCTTTGACTGTTCATTCATTCATTCATCAAACATTTTTGAGCCAGATACTGTGCTACATCCTGGGGATACAAAAATAAATGTTAACAACCAGTTCAACTAAGAACCTTGACCTCCTGGATTTGTGTAATCTATAATCCAGTTCAAACAAGCATCCTCTGACATCCCCCTGTGCTGTGGGGAGGAAGGTGGTTAGGAAGGGCAGCTCAAGCACCAGGGGCAGCAAGGCTAATCAAGCAGAACAGAAGGTCAAAGTCCCGGAAGAGGAGTAAAATGCCAATCCACCAGGGGAGTCTGGAACCAAGGCTTTGCAACCTCTCCCTGGGAATGTTGAATGGTACCCACGAGAGCAGAAATACAGCACCAATTAGGTTACAGGCACTGCCACTAAAATTCAGTGAGGCAAAATTATCATTGAACTGAAAAAGGAAAGAATTTAGTTAAACAGATCTTTTGAGAATGCCTGCAGAGTCACTGGAATGAGTTGTTGACATTCTTCATCAACACAGAAAATGTTGCCAGGGTGCCTGCAACAAAACAGATTTATGTGATGCCACTCCTGACTCCCCAGAGACCTGCCGACCTGAAGCAGACAGATTAAAGTCAGCCTGGGACACACTTCCTGATTTTAAAAACAAACATTCTTCAGGTTTTGAAAAGTGAATTTCTCCAGGAAACACTTTACACAAGTAATACCCTAGAGTGTACATATTTTGTATTCTCTATACTCTGTGAATATTTCTCATATTACGGACAGTAAGATATTCAGTGTTGACTTCGGATATAAAGGGAGTACATCCTTGAGAAGGAGAGTAGAAAGTCCTTGCCCAGTCTTTGTCCAAGTCATCATCTGTTTTCTGTTCATTAGACATTAGTAGAGGGTCTACTCTGTTCAGCACTGTGCTGGGTACCAGGGTGATGCAGCAGGAGGGAAGGAGGAGGTAGATAACAAAGGACTTGACAGGTGGCCCTTTATACGCTTCCAGCCTAATGGGAGTGGTATAGGTTGAGTTCCCTGGGTTTGAGATAGAGAACTGGGGGCAAGAGGTTTATTGGGGAGTATACCCCAAAACAACATCTGTGTGTGACTGAAGGAAGCGGGCAGAGGTGGGTAAGTTGAGCTGTAATGCAACATAAGCCTGAGCGGGCTCCATGGGACACACTGAAGCTGAGATGCCCTTCAGAGATGTCTCAAGTTGAGACCAGGGAGAGGTGTCTGTGCCCTTTATTGAATGTCATAGAGTGTAGGCTTTCCCCAGGGAAGGGGAGTAGCCTTACACAAGACAGCTCCATTCTGTGGAGGGACATTTCTGAGAAGGAGCTGAGTCTGGAGCTTTCAGCAAGCAACACTCCTAGAAGTTGGGAAAATGCGAGCCTTGGGCCTGAACGTGGGGATTTGGGCAGCACACCACAGCATCCACTATAAGGGAGCATAATACAATAGCATGAAGGGCAGTGTGACATTTTGGTGTTGTAATGAAGGTACAGATACAGTAGAATGAGCATTCAGAAGGTGGAGGGACTGCATCTGATAGGGAGCAAAGAAAGCCTCTTGTGGAGGTTGAGGCCCCTGAATATGCACAAGGCTTCCACCCCTACCCCACCCCGGGAGAAGAGCTAAGGTAATTAAATCACACATTCCCAGCTGATGGGGAAGGAGGATGGAGCAGATGGGAGGAAATAAGATTTCTGCAATTATCTCCTTCCCCAGCACTTCCAGAGTCACAGCCCCAACTGGCAATCACTTCTGACTGCCACAGTTAAAGAGCTCCTCAGGTCAGCAACCCCTTATAATATGGGTAGAGTGATGGCCACAGTGGGCCTTCAGATGTGTCCACTGACTGCCCAGCTAACTGACTTACCTGATGGAGCAAGCTGTGTTTGGTCCAGAAACAAACTGACCCAATTTCATCCCAGAATCTACAATGCCTCCCATTTTCAAAATTATTTCTTCCTATCAAGCAAGGTTATTCATTCCTTTTTCAAGAATGGCTGTCAAGACTTGTGAAACTAGAGTCATCCTTCTGCGATCAGGGTGAATGGAAGCTCAGGATGTGAGGAAGTGCATGAGGCTCCACTCTCTGGCAAAGCAAAAATAATTTTTAGAATCAGTTTTAAGATTTGTCCTTCTGTTTGGGATGCCTCCAGGCTAAAGGAAACAAATATTCCATGGATTTACCCCCAGAGAGCAACATGTCCCCTGTCCTATTTGATATTTCTGCTCAAAAAGCTGCTGTTTAACAGCTGAATAATGGTTTCCCTTCTCAGCGTTCTGTATACACTTGCACACTGCAACATACAGCTTTCTGTGCCCAGATTCAAAAGCATTTCTTCAGGTAAACAAAATTAAACAAAGAAAAGCACTTTGGCCCTATTCAGATAAAGCCTCATTTTTCTACATGTGAAATAGAGACTGGTCCTACTCAACAATCTTTGATTGCCAGGCTCTTCTATGCTAAGAGTCACTGAATTACATTGACCTGAAACAGCTAAATTGAGACCCGCTGGACGGTATAATAGTTATATATTGCTGCGTAACAAATTACCCCTACATGTAGTAGCTTAAAACAACCAACATGTGGCTGGGCGTGGTGGCATGCCTGCAATCCCAGCACTTTGGGAGGCCGAGGTGGATGCATCACTTGAGGCCAGGAGTTCAAGACCAGCCTGGTCAATATGGGAAATGCTGTCTCTACTAAAAATGGAAAAATTAGCGGGGTGTGTTGTTGCACACCTGTAATCCCAGGTGCTGAGGTGGCTGAGGCATGAGAATCACTTGAATCCGGGAGGCGGAGATTGTAGTGAGCCGAGATGCCACCACTGCACTCCAGCCTGGTGAGACTCAAAAACAAACAAACAAACACAACCAACATATATATGTCACAGTTTCTTTAGGTCAGAAGTGAGAGCAGCTCCACTGGGTGGCTCTGCTTGAAGTGTCTCATGAAGTTGCAGTTAGGATGTTGACAGGGGCTGCAAACATTTAAGGCTTGGCTGGGGTTTGCGGATCCACTTCTCAGATGCTTCAACTTACACAGCTGTTGGAAGGATGCCTCAGTTTTATGCCACATGGACCTTTTTTTGTGATATGGTAGCTGGCTACCAATGGAGCAAGTGACTCAAGAAAGAGTGGCTACAATGGAAGCCACAACGCCTTTTATGGCTTAGTCTCAGAAGTAACATAGAATAAGTCTCTGTCATATTCTATTAGAAGCGAATCACTAAGTCCAGCCCATAATAAAGGGGACGCAGATCACTATATTAGACACATTTCAAAACCACCGCAGAAGGGAAGGTGAGGGAGTGTTACATGAGCTACAGAGTGATCCCTAAGCAAAGCTGTGCTTTGCAGTCTTATCTTGGTGCCAGTGCCACCCCAGTACCCTCCCATACTTCCACCCCACTTCATTGGCTCAGCTTCTTAGGTGCATTCTCACCTCTCATCAATCCATCCAAGTCCTTTATTTTATCCCTCCCAAAGCTCTCTGTGCTCCAAGATGATCAAAACAACTGATGCACTAATCTCCTTCCAGGAAACCAGCATTTCATTAGAGAAACCTGCCTCTGCTGGTGAAAGTGAAAGTTCTCCTGGAGAAAGAATGAATGTAGAGGGCAGTTCCCTGAAGAATATTGTGGGGTGGCTGCTCAATGTACTCATAATATAGTGCCTCTCCCAGGGAGCTTGCATGCATCAAAGGAACAAAAGTCAATGTCCTGACCAGACACTTCTCAAAAGAAGATATACAAGCAGTCAACAAGTTTATGTAAAAATGCAAATGCTCACCATCACTAATCATCAGCGAAATGAAAATCAAAATCACAATGAGTTACCGTCTCATACTAGTTAGAATGGCTTTTGTTAAAAAGTCAAGGACTAACAGATGCTGGTGAGGCCGTGGAGAATAGGGGACACGTGTATACTGTTATAGTAATGTAAATTAGTCCAGCCACTATGGAGAGCAGTTTGGAGATTTCTCAAAGAACTAGAAGTTGCATTATGATTCAATCAAGCAATCCCATTACTGGGTATATACTCAAAAGAAATTAAATCATTCTACTGAAAAGACACATGCACTTTTATGTTCATCACAGTGCTATTTCCAAAGCAAAAATGTGGAGTCAACCCAGGTGCCTAACAGTGGTGGATTGGATTTTTAAAAAGTGGTACATATATACCATAGAATACTATGCAGCCATAAAAAAGAATAAAATTGTGTCCTTTGCAGCACCATGGATGCAGTTGGAGGAGGCCATTATCCTAAGAAAACTAACACAGAAATAGGAAATAAATACTGCATATGCTCATATATAAGTGGTTGCTAAACATGGGTACACATGGGCATAAGGATGGAAACAATAGACACAGGACTACTAGAGTGGGGAGAGAGGGATGGGGGCAAGGGCTAAAAAATTATTTATATCATGGATACTATGCTCACTACCAGCGTGACAGTTTCCATCATACCCTGAACCTCACCATAATGGAATATACCTCTATAACATTCCTGCACATGTACCCCGATTGTAAAATAAAAGTTGAAAAAGAAAAAAATTGGAAGTCCTAACTGGAGCAATCAGGCATGAGAAAGAAAAGGCATCCAAATAATAAGAGAGAAAGTCAAACTATCTCTGTTTGCAGATGATAAAATTCTATACCTAGAAAACCTATATCTGGTAAACAACTTCAGCAAAGTTTCAGGATGCAAAATCAAGGTTCAAAAATCAGTAGCATTTCTTTACTCCAACAGCATCCAATCTCAAAGCCAAATCAAGAATGCAGTTCCATTCACAATAGGCACAAAAGGAATAAAACACCTAGGAATACAGCTAACCAGGGAGGTGAAAGAGCCCTACAAGGAGAATTACAAAACACTGCTCAAAGAAATCAGGGATGACACAAACAAATGGAAAAATATTTCATGCTCATGGATAGAAAGTATCAATATTTATAAAATGGCCATACTGCCAAAAGCAATTTACAGAGTCAATGCTATTCCTATCAAACTACCAATAACATTCTTCAGAGAACTAGAAAAAACTATTTTAAAACTCATATGGAACCAAAAAAGAGCCTGAATAGCCAAGACAATTCAAAGCAAAAAGAACAAGGCTGAAGGCATCAGGTTACCCAACTTCAAACTATACTACAAGGCTACAGTAACCAAAACAGCATGGTACCACTACAAAAACAGACACATAGATCAATGGAACAGAATAGAGGCCTAGAAATAAAGCTACACACTTAAAACCAACTGATTTTCCACAAAGTTGACAAAAACAAGCAGTGGGGAGAAGACTTTCTAGTCAATAAATGGTGCTGGGATAATTGATAGCTATATGCAGAACACTGAAGCCGGACCTCTTACTTTCGCTATATACAAAAATCAACTCAAGATGTATTAAAGACTTAAGTGAACAACCTAAAACTACAAAATCTGGATGATAATCTAGGAAATAACACTGTGGACATGGGACCTGGCAAAGATTTCATGATGAAGACACCAAAAGCAATAGCAACAAAAGCAAAAATTGACAAATGGGACCTAATTAAATTAAAGAACTTCTGCACAGCAAAAGAAACTATCAACAGAATAAACAGACAACCTACAGAATGGGAGAAAATATGTGCCTCCCATAGAGAAAACTATGCCTCTGACAAAGGTCTAATGTCCAGAATCTATAAGTAACTTAAATTTATAAGCAAAAAACAACCTCATTAAAAAGTGGGTAAAGGACATGAACAGAAAGTTTTCAAAAGAAGACATACACACGGCCAACAAGCATATGAAAAAATGGTCAACATCACTAACTATTGGAGAAATACAAATCAAAACCACAATGAAATACCATCTCACACCAGTCAGATTGGCTATTATTTAAAAGTCTAATAAAACAGATGCTGATGAGGTTGAGGAGAAAAGAGGATGCTTATACATGGCTGGCAGGAATGTAAATTAGTTCAGCCATTGTGGAAGACAGTGGGGTAATTTCTAAAGGAACTTTAAAGAGAAGTACCATTCAACCCAGCAATCCCATTATTGGGTTTATACCCCAAGTAATATAAATTGTTACTTTAATATAATTTATATATTTAACATATATAAATATATAATTAATATAATTTATATTTTAATATTTATGTTTAATACAATTTTTATATAAGTTGTTACATAAAGATTTTTATATAATATAAATTGTTACATAATATAAATTGTTACGTAAAGACATGTGCACACGTACATTAATCACAGCACTATTCACAATAGCAAAGGCATGAAATCAGCCTAAATGCCCATCAATAGTAGACTGGATAAAGAAAATGTGCGTATACATCTTGGAATACTACATAGCCATGACAAAGAATGAGATCATGTCCTTTGCAGCAACATGGATGAAGCTGGAGGCCATTATCCTAAGTGAACTAACACAGGAACAGAAAACCAAATACTGCATGTTCTCACTTATAAGTAGGAGCTAAACATCGAGTACACATGAACACAAAGAAGGGAACAACAGACATCAGGGCCTACTTGAAGGTGGGGGGTGGGAGAAGAGAGAGGATTAAAAAACTGCCTATCAAGTATTATGCTTATTACCTGGGTGAAAATAATCTGTACAACAAACCCTTGCTACATGCAATTTATGTATATAATAAACCTGCACATGTACCCCGAACTTAAAAGTTGAAAAAAAAGATAAAATTCAAAAAAATAAAAATCAATACAAAAAAAGAGAAAAAAAGATAAAGTATTTAAGGCTATAAAAAATAAAATAAAATAAAATAAAATAAAATAAAATAAAATAAAATAAAATAAAACCCAACATGCTGCACTTCCCCAAGGCTGTTATGCTCCCTTCTAACCTCTGTGATAGGATAAGTACGAAGCCTAGTGATGGCTCACCTCAGAGAAGTCCTTCCTATCAGCCTCTGCATTGGGACCACAAACCCAAGAGAGATGCTTTAAGCCCCTACTGGGTGAGCACAGTTTTGCTCCCTGAGCCCCTTTCCCTTCTCCTGTGTTTCATCTATTGAGCTGAACCACATCCCATCCCAGAGTGGAAAGCAAACTCAAACCCGTTTCTTGGAGTCCTTCTGGGCTGGGTTTTGGAGGCTGCTCCTCCTAGGCCACCATTAGTAACTGTATTCTCTGGGGCCTACCCAACCAGGCCTGGATCCAGCAGGAACATGGACAGCTGGACCTGTAGCTGATCGGCAGTTTGCAGATTGCGCTTCAGTGGTTGGTTGCAAACACCAGATAATAGGAAAAGCGCTGCTGATGCTTTTAGGTACCCAAAGAGTTCTCTCTCTTCAACTCCACCCTTCCAATCAACCTTCTTACTTGTATTAAGGCCCAGTTGAGAGCTTCTCTCAGCTTGCCTTCTCACTTTCAGGGCCAATCTAGCATCCAGGCTTAGCAACATGAGGGCTAAGGGCTGGATTTATTCCTCCATCTTTTGCTTCCTTGCCTGGGCTCTAATGTTCTCTAGTCAGACAATTGCAAGGGCTTTGCTACCATCTTCCAGGTTCTGCTTGGCACACTTCAAACTATACATTGCTGCTGGCATGCCCCCCCGAGTCATGTGCCCCAACAACTTTCAGTGGCTCTTTAATGTGTCTCCCAAATGAAGGATGCATTCTACTCCCTAGGTCTTCCAGCCTCATTCCTACCACTTGTCTTCCTCCCTAGATGGGGTTATCCAGCCAAATTAAACTATAGGTGGGTTTCCAAAATCTGACATTTTCCCACCTTTGCTTATGTTGTTCTCTCACCTTCCTTACTCCCATTTCTTTTTTTGAGACAGAGTCTTGCTCTGTCACCCAGGCTGGAGTGCAGTGGCGTGATCTCGGCTCACTGCAACTTCTACCTCATAGGTTGAAATAATTCTCCTGCTCCAGCCTCCCAAGTAGCTGGGATTACAGGCATGCACCACCACACACAGCTAATTTTTTTGTATTTTTAGTAGAGATGGGGTTTCACCAAGTTGGCCAGGCTGGTCTCAATCTCCTGACGTCAAATGATCTGCCCACCTTGGCCTCCCAAATTGCTGAGATTACAAGCATGAGCCACCATGCCCAGTCTCTACTTCCATTTCTTTGTCCTTCAAATTTCTCATTGCTTTCACTTCGAGCCATGTCCCTCATGCGCATATATAAACAATTCTGTCCAAAATTTTAGCAAATCAAAATTTGCTAAAAAGACAACACAGTATATAAAAGGACAACACATCATGGTCAAATAGGGTGTATCCCAGAATGTAACGTTGGTTTACCATTAAGAAATCAATCAATGTAATTCTGTAATTCATTGTATTCTTTTTTTTTTTTTTTTTTGAGACAGAGTCTCTCTCCGTTGCCCAGGCTGGAGTGCAGTGGCACAATCTCAGCTCACTGCAACCTCCACCTCCCTGGTTCAAGCGATTCTCCTGCCTCAGCCTCCCAAGTAGCTGGGATTACAAGTGCATGCCACCACACCCAGCTAATTTTTTGTATTTTTTGTAGAGATGGGGTTTCACTATGTTGGCCAGGATGGTCTTGAACTCCTGACCTCAAGAGATCCATCAGCCTTGGTCTCCCGAAGTGCTGGGATTACAGGAGTGAGCCACCGCGCCCGGCCCATTGTATTCATTTTCTTTTTTTTTTTTTAATATTTTTTTTTGAGACAGTCTCGCTGTGTTGCCCAGGCTGGAGTGCAGTGGCGCGGTCTCGGCTCACTGCAAGCTCTGCCTCTCAGGTTCACACCATTCTCCTGCCTCAGCCTCCCGAGTAGCTGTGACTACAGGCTCCTGCCACCATGCCCGGCTAATTTTTTGTATTTTTAGTAGAGACGGGGTTTCACCGTGTTAGCCAGGATGGTCTTGAACTCCTGACCTCAAGAGATCCACCCGCCTTGGCGTCCCAAAGTGCTGGGATTACAGGAGTGAGCCACCGTGCCCGGCCCACTGTATTCATTTTCTATTGCTATGTAAAAAATTGCCATGAATTTAGCAGTTCAAAACAACTCAAATTTGTTAAGTTTCTGTAGATCAGAAGTTGAGGCCAAATTCTCTGCTCAACATCTTAACAGGCTGAAATCAGAGTTGGCCATAGCTGTGGTTCTCATGTGGGACTCAAGTTTCCTGTTCAAGTTTGGAATTTCCATAGCCTTTTATTGTACCTCTTTCTATAGTCTATTTCATTTCAGAAATGCTTGTGTCTTTGTCTTATCCCCACCACGTCCCCTCCACTGAAGGCTGAAACTGTCCTCTTATTCTCAGTTTTGTGGACCTGAACTAAGAAGTTCAAGTGTACTGGTGCACTTTCCTTTTTCGCTTGAGCATTTTATAACAGTGAATAAAGAGAGAGTCATCTTCGGTTACATATTTCTACCATTTTGCCACAGTCCTTGTCTGCATTCTTCCCATTTGGCAGTACTTTCCCCAGTCTGGTAGTCAGCATTTCTGACAGCTGTTTGGCATGGCTTTCAATTAGAGACAGCCATCTGTGAAAGGTACATTGCCATACAGCCCATTATGGCTCTAGAGCTGGTGATGGCAGCAACAATTACAATTATTTATAATCTAGTGGGCCAAAGTATTTTTTTTTAGAGCTCTTACCTGAACATGGCTCTGCTATTTCTGAATAAAACTTTCATTTTAAGAAATTGCATCCAGTAAATTGAACTAGACAAAGACATACCTGCAAAACTGGAACAAATGCCCACACCCCCAACTCGCGGGTTATCCTTTGGCACACAGGTCCAAATGGTGCTATATTTCTTTCCTCATTTCAGCTGTACCTACTTCTTTTTGCTTCCCAGTAATGGGTGCGGGCAGAGAATTGCACTCTGGGAGCAGGCAGGGATTCTACCTCCCTTCTCCCATAGAGATCTCCAGCGGGAGGAAGTAAGCCAGTCAAGCAGGGTCAGGTACACAATACTAGTTAACAGCTCAGGCTTTGGAGCCCAACTGTCTGGGTTTGAATCCCAGGGCACATTTCTTAATATTTTGTACCTCAGTTTACTCACCCGTAAAATGGGAACAATAATAATCCGAGGCCAGGTGTGGTGGCTCACACCTGTAATCGCAAGACTTGGGGAAGCTGAGGCAGGGGGACACTTGAGGTCAGGAGTTCAAGACCAGCCTGGCCAACATGGTGAAACCCCATCTCTACTAAAAATACAAAAATTAGCCAGGTGTGGGCGTGTGCCTGTAATCCCAGCTACTTGAGAGGCTGAGGTGGGAAAATAGCTTGAACCCAGGAGGCAGAGGTTGCAGTGAGCCGAAATCACGCCATTTCACGCCAGCCTGGGCAACAGAGCGAGACTCCATCTCAAAAAAAAAAAAACAAAAACAAAGAAACAACAACAAAAAAACCCAACCTTATCTGATAAGCTTATTCCAAAGACTAAATGACTAAATGCGTTAATTCATTGAAAACAATGACACATAGTAAGTACTCAGTAGTAAAGGTTAACTACTGTTATTATCTGTACAACTCTTGTTCGCAACCTGGGTTGTATGTTCAAATTAATTGATTTGAAAGATTTTGAGAAATGCTGAGGCTCAGAACCCCATCCTAGTTCAGGGCTTCTCAGCTGTGGTACCACTGACATTTTGAGCCAGGGAATTCTTTGTTGTGGGGGACTTTCCTGTGCTTTGTGAGATGTTTAGCAGCATTCCTGGTCTTTACCCATTAGATGTCAATAACAAGCCCTCACCCCCAAGTTGTGATAACTAAAAATGTTTCCAGACATTGTTAAATCTTCATCCCCTGGTGGGTGGGAGTGGGGGAGGTTGTGGGTGACTGGGAGATACATCCCCTGAATGGATCTCAGGTGGGTTGACCCTAGCTGAGATCCACTGCCCTAGATCAATTAAATCATCATCTCTGGAGATGGGGGCTTGGGCATGGATCTTCCCAAGGGCAGATCCAAGTTTTGTGGGGCCAGATGCTTTTAAAATTTTATAGTTTTTCTGTAAGAAAAATAACAAAGATTATAAATACAAATTTACATATGGAAGTGAATAGAATATTAGAATATTTAGAATGAGTAAAAAAAGACAATAATTATTATTTACATGGAGATTTATATCCTTTTTATTTGAGATCACTGTGGGCAATTTACCAGCAGAAATTCTTCTTGATCACAACGTGGCTTTCTCTCCCCACCTAGGTCACTATACAAGTTTCAGCACTCACAGGGGCCTGTGTGATTGAGGTACCCTGAAGTTTAAACGTTCTGAGCAAGCTTCATGGTGAATCTACCTCTGGGCCTTCTCCTGCTGCAGCACACTGGCTCTGGATGGAATCCCAGACCAGCAGAACGCAATTTCAGAAAACTTGGCATTGGAAGGTAGGTTGGAGGTGGGCAGGGAGCACAGCAAGAGGGAATTAAGACTGCAGCCAAAACCCAAAGCCTGGAGTACCCCACAAGCCTGGAGTGGCCCCAAACTAGAAAAAAACAGCTCCAGCCACTCTGCTGAGCTTTGATTTTCAGCATCAGCACTGACATTCTGGACAGGGTAACTGGCAGGAATTTAGGACTGGGGTGGTGGAAGCCAGGCAGCAAGGAGAGGTATGCCTCATAGGTCAACATGATCACCCTCCCATGTTCCTCAGGAACATTAAGTCCTAGTGAGAGATGACAGTGTGCTGGCAGCCCTCCAGCCCTCGCTCGCTCTTGGCGCGGCCTCGGTGCCCACTCTGGCCGTGCTTGAGGAGCCCTTCAGCTTGCCGTTGCACTGTGGGAGCCCCTTTCTGGGCTGGCCGAGGCTGGAGCCGGTTCCCTCAGCTTGCGGGGAGGTGTGGAGAGAGAGGCACGGGCGGGAACCGGGGCTGCGCGCCGTGCTTGCGGACCAGCTAGAGTTCCAGATGGGTGTGGGCCTGGCGGGCCCCACACTCGGAACAGCAGGCCGGCCCCGCCAGCCCCCGGCAGTGAGGGGCTTAGCACCCAGGCCAGCAGCTGCAGAGGGTGCGCCAGGTCCCCCAGCAGTGCCGGCCCACCGGCGCTGCGCTCGATTTCTCACCGGGCCTTAGCTGCCTCCCTGCAGGGCAGGGCTCGGGACTTGCACCTCCCCATGCCTGAGCCTCGCCCCCACAACCCCCCCAACCAGCCCTCCCCACCCCCCCCATGGGCTCCTGGCGGCCCGAGCCTCCCCTATGAGCGCCGCCCCCTGCTCTGTGGCTCCTAGTCCCATCAACCACCCAAGGGCTGAGGAGTGCGGGCACAAGGCGTGGGACTGGCAGGCAGCTCCACCTGTGGCCCCTGTGCGGGATCCACTGGGTGAAGCCAGTTGGGCTCCTGAGTCTAGTGGGGACTTAGACCTTTATGTCTAGCTAAGGGATTGTAAATACACCAATCAGCACTCTGTGTCTAGCTCAAGGTCTGTAAACACACCAATCAGCACCCTGTGTCTAGCTCAGGGTTTGTAAATGCACCAATCAGCGCTCTGTGTCTAGCTGATCTGGTAGGGACCTGGAGAACCTTTATGTCTAGCTAAGGGATTGTGAATACACCAATCGGCACTCTGTATCTAGCTCAAGGTTTGTAAATGCACCAGTCAGCACTCTGTATCTAGCTAATCTAGTGGGGACGTGGAGAACTTTTGTGTCTAGCTCAGGGATTGTAAATGCACCAATCAGCACCCTGTCAAAATGGACCAATCAGCTCTCTGTAAAACAGACCAATTGGCTCTCTGTAAAATGGAACAATCAGCAGGATGTGGGTGGGGCCAGATAAGAGAATAAAAGCAGGCTGTCCCAGCTAGCAGTGGCAACCCACTAGGGTCACCTTCCACATTGTGGAAGCCTTGTTCTTTTGCTCTTTGCAATAAATCTTGCTGCTGCGCACTCTTTGGGTCCACACTGCCTTTATGAGCTGTAACACTCACCACGAAGGTCTGCAGCTTCACTCCTGAGCCAGCGAGACCACGAACCCACCAGAAGGAAGAAACTGAACAATCTGAACATCAGAAGGAACAAACTCTGGACTCGCCGCCTTTAAGAACTGTAACACTCACCGTGAGGGTTCGTGGCTTCATTCTTGAAGTCGGTGAGACCAAGAACCCACCAATTCTGGACACACTAGGTTGTCCCAGAAACCAAATGAATCAAGCAACGAAGAGACAGGCCACACAGGCACCCAACAGGCATAAACAGGGAGTCAGACTTCAGGTCTTAGATTGTAAACTTACTTCTCAGCTCCATGAGATGAGATTGTTGGGGACACTAAGCCTGTGATATACTGAACTCCCTGCCCAGTCAGGATGGGATCAAAAACTGCGTGAGGAGAAGTGGCTGGGACTGTGTGTAGAGGTCCACAGTGAATGCACTGGGAATTGCAGAAGATGAGAGAATGAGGCCAGAGCTGATCCAGGGTAATAGCCACTAAACAGAGGCTCTCTTGACCCTGTGGATGGAGCATGGAGCTAGGTAGTACCCGCAAGCTCTTCGTAACACCAGCGGGGATTGCCCATGGAAGCATCATGGAACTTGCTAAGATAAAGGGTTGAGGGATTTTTCAGACCCTTGAAATCAAGAGTTGGACCCTACTACCACCAATTCAGTCACCCCACCACCATCTGGACTGGCCAGATACTCATTTTATCAGAACTGGAGATGAGAACTATTTGACTGTGAGCTTTGCTCTTCGAGGTTAGATGGGCACACCAAAGATCACCTAGGCTATTTCTGTTAATTGCCATCTTTAGCACAGTTAATAGAGGGTGTCTATGTTATCAACATTGTTACTGCTATTGTTTTAGTAACTAAGATTCCTGACATGTACAGGATCTTCATTCTAACAAGAACAGACTCCTTTTCTTCTGGAATTCCCCACAGTGTAGACTTTTGGGTAAGGTTTTTGGGGAGATTGATTATAGCACATGTGAGGGAATCCGGCACAAAGCAAAGAGGGACTTTTCAGGTCTCCTACCCCGGGTAACTGTACTCATCTTCTCATCCCACCTGTGTTACAGTTATCCCCAGGTATGGTTGCATGTGCTCTAATCTTTATATTATAAACCTTTAGGGAAGGGGCAAATTGCAAATTAAGAGGGTGTGTGTAGTTGGTGCCCTAGTCAAGCAAGCTATACCAGTGAACCAACAGATTCCCCACTGTGGCTCCAAGTGTTCATCTAATCACGGGTGTTTGAATCACTCAGCTAACTAGAAAATTAATTTTAACCGGGGTTTTCATCCACTTTGCCATTCTTTTATCAAATATTTTATCAAAATTTCTTTATGGGGTCAGGCGCGGTGGCTCACGTCTGTAATCCCAGCACTTTGGGAGGCTGAGGCGGGTGGATCACCTGAGGTCAGGCATTTGAGAACAGCCTGGCCAACATAGTGAAACACTGTCTCTACAAAAAATACAAAAATTAGCTGGGTGTGGTGGTGCATGCCTGTGATGCCAGCTACTCAGGGGGCTGAGGCAGGAGAATCGCTTGAATCTGGGAGGTGGAGGTTGCGGTGAGCCAAGATCGCACCACTGCACTCCAGCCTGGGTGACAGAGTGAGACTCTGTCTCAAAAAAAAAAAAAAATGAAATAATAATAATAAAGAAAAGAAATTCTTTATGGACACGGGTCCATCTTCTTTTCCCTTTCCTTGCGCACCCACTGATAATCCTGAAAATAGTTAATAAAGTGGTCCAAAGAAGGCAATGGTAGAAAGAAAAGCAACAAGTTTGAATAATTTGCAAACTGGAACTTCAAACCACATCTTAAGCAATGAGGACAAGTTGCATAACATTAGAAGTATGTTTTTCCTCCCCAAATAATCAAAGTTTTCCCTGTCATATTCCTAATTCTAGGAACTCATCTTTACTATAGAAAGTTGCTGTCTTATTCTTCCAGGTTTTCAGGTTTGTTATTTGCAAAGAATAGCATTCAGAGGCCGGGTGCAGTGGCTCACACCTGTAATTCCAGCACTTTGAGAGGCCGAGGTGAGTGAATCTCCTGAGGTCAGGAGTTCGAGACCAGCCTGGCCAACGTGGTGAAACCCCGTCTCTACTAAAAATACAAAAATTAGCTGGGTGTGGTGGTACACACCTGTAATCCCAACTACTCGGGAGGCTGAAGCAGAAGAATTGCTTGAACCTGGGAGGCAGAGGTTGCAGTGAGCCAGTATTGCACCACTGCACTCCAGCCTGGGCAACAGAGCAAGACTCCATCTCAAAAAAGAATAATGTTCCGATCTTTCTTTGAATTATGTTTATTCTCTAACACTACCTCTTTCTATGCATTTGCTTTTAACCTTTCCAATACATTTTAGAGACCTGAGGTTTCACTCTACTCCCCAACAAACAAGCTGCAATATCCACAGCACACTAAATGAAGGTTACAAAAGAGTTAGAGAATTGTGCCCCTCGTGGGATCTCTTCCATTACTATTTTCCCAACTGTGTTGGAGTCGGATCCCAAGTCTGTCAGAGCTAGGCCTGTCTGGCTTTGACATCCACACTCTATCCATTCTTTCCCACTGCCCATTTTCACAGAAGGAGCAGGAGGAGAAACAGATGCTAATGATGATTTACTTTTGAGGAAATTCAGTATTGGCTTTTCATACTTTTGAATGTAACTCTATATCAAGATATTATTAATAGTTAATACAGTAATATCCTATAAATGTCTGTAATAGCTACCTCCCCGGGGTGCAGTGAGAAATAAATATGATGTATATAAAGTGCCTGACACATCAGTGATATTTATTAAATAGTAATTATTATTGATATTATGAATTTGCTCCAACTCTGGAGATAGACTGGATTTGAGTCCTAGCCCCGGTTGTGTGATACTGAGCAACTTATTGAAAGTTACAAAGCCTTAATTTCCTCATCTATAGATAGCAGGAAATAGTGCCTACTTGATAGTATTGTGGTGAAGATTAAATATGATAATGCTATGATAAGGTAATTAGTATTGTGCCTGTCACATAGTAAATGATAAATAAACATTAGTTATATTAATGTTATTATCAGGCACTTATCATTCTGTTTTTTTCTGGTTTGTCCCTAATGTCATCACATACTACTTTCTTGTTGATGACTCCATATCCCTTTTTTTTCCATTTGACATACCTATGCTTTTGAAATTCTGAAATCTACTTGGAAGAATTCCATTGGATTCCTTCCTTCTGATCTTTATTGTTATAAGGAAGGCATAGTACTCGTCAGGAATGTTGGTTACTGAAACAACAGCAGTAATAATGTTGATAATATAGACACTGTCTATGAAGCATGCTAGAGATGGTAATTAGCAGAAAGAGCCTATGTGATCCTTGGTGCACCATCTAACCTTGAGGAGCAAAATTTCTTGGTCAAGTAGTCCTCATCTCCAGTTCTGATAAAATGAGTGTCTGCCCAACCCAGATTGTGGTGGGGTGACTGTAGAATCCAACTTTTGATATCATGGGTCTAGACCACCCCTCATTTCAAACCTTTATCTTGTATAACCAAGACCAAATGAGAATTAAAAGAGAGTATAATATGTAATATCTGTATCTGTCTGCTCAGGCAGTATAGATATGAGAGAACTTCAAAATTGGGATTGGGCAGGAATAGTGAGCACATTTGTAAAAAAAAAAAAGAGAAAAAGAAAAACTATTTTAGTAACACACTTGTAAAAAAAAAACTATTTTAAAAACTTGTTCTCCCTAATTATAATTGCAGCATTAGCATTAGTATTAGTATTCTGATACTGTGTATTCGACATTGAATAAAATAAATAATTATGAAGTTTTACAATTTTTTTTTCTTTTTTTTAAGACAGAGTCTTGCTCTGTCACCCAGGCTAGGGTGCAGTGGCATGATCTCGGCTCACTGAAACCTCCGCCTCCACCAAGTCCAGCTAATTTTTGTATTTTTAGCAGAGGCAGGGTTTTACCATGTTGGCCATTCTAGCCTTGAACTCCTGACCTCAAGTGATCTGCCCATCTTGGCCTCCCAAAGTGCTGGGATTACAGGTGTGAGTCACCATGCCCAGCCAAAGTTTTCTAATTCTATCATCCCATGTGTCCTTAGGAACTGAGATTCTTGGTATGGAATAAAGATGTAATGTAAAAAATGTTATTAAAAAAAAGAGAGAAACAAACTAAATAACAACAGCAGCCCTATATCCCTAAATTTGAATGAAAGTATCATACGGCCTAGAACCCTAGAAACAATTAGAAATCCAGTAATAATGAGCACTTCTAGCACCCAGAATATAGTCTTAAAATACAATTTCACTAAAAGAAACCAGGCTTTTTGAGGGAAATGGCTGATTCTAGGTCTGAGGCAGGAGATTTACAAAACGAGCCTGGATAGCAAGGAGGCTATTAAAGATTACTAGAGTCATGGCAAAAGGACTTGGGAGCTGACTTGAAGAGTCTCTGTCTCAGTGGCTAAAGAGAGGATGATTGGAGCTTCAAAAAAGATCATATGGGAACTTCTGGTTTTCAGTCTGGTATGTAAGGAGCTTAGAAGTTGCTACCTTGTCCTAACAACTAGTCAAAAGCTTAAAAAACTGAAAAATCAGCCACTCTTCTTAGATCCATCAGAGAAGTGAGCTTAGAGGGCAAACCACTGCCTTCAAGAATGGAGAGAATGACAGGCAGATACACAAAATCATAACTGGCCAGAGACTCATGAGCAGAAAACACTATGGGAACTAGTGGCTGGGTAGGAAAATCCAAACTGTAATTGATGAATTGCTGGAAGTTCACTGTGGATAAGCCCAAGAGATAAAAATTCCAGGGGGATCCAATAATGCAGAGGTTGGGGGTTGTGGGGGGAGAAAATATTGTGAGATTTACCTCCTGGAGCTCTACTAAATTCTCACAGTGAATATCTCAGAAAAATCCCCCTGGGCTTCTGGTAGGGAGGGGGGAGAAGGAACCACTGTGAAATATGCCAGAAGATTCTTTTTCTTCTAACAAAGTCTACCCTCAGGAGAAACTATTTTACCACAGTCTAACCTGCTGGGGTTTTACCAGTGCTGAACCAATCTGGAGGAAGGGAAATAGCCACTCCCAGCTCTCTTTAGCCTTCCACATGGTGGAAGAAAAATACCCAACTCTCATCCCCTTTAGCAATCCTGTCCCATTTAAGGAGGGAAAAAACAAAACAAAACTGAGGAGCACTGGTGAAGTTGTTAGTCCAGGGGCACAGGATCACCAAAGACCGAGACCTAATCATAGGACTGTAGGACACTTTCCCTCCTCTCACACCTTACCATTACTTTACTAAAGGCGTATATATCACAGTTCCTTTTACTCAGCATATCATGTCTACCCTTCAACTAAAAAATGCAAGCATACTAAATAGCAAAAAACACAGTTTGAAGCGACTAAACAAGTATCAGTCAGATGTGGCAGAATGTTGGAATTATCCGACTAGGATTTATTTTAAAACTGTGATTAATATGCTAAGGGCTTTGATGAAAAAAGTAGACAAAATGCAAAAAAAAAAAAAAAAAGATGGATAATGTAAGTGGAGAGATTGAAAGTCTAAGAAAGAATAACAAATCATAGAGATAAAAAATACTGCAACATAAATGAAGAATGCCTTTGATGGGCTTGTTAGTAGACTGGACACAGCCAAGGAAAGAATCACTGAGCTTAAATATATTACAATAGAAACTTCTAAAACTGAAAAGCAAAGAGAAAAAAAGACTGAAAAAAAAAAGACAGGCTAAGAACCATGGTACAGGTACACAGGATGTGACATATATGTAATGGGAATATCAGAAGGAGTAAGAAAAGACAGAGAGGAACAGAAGCAATATTTGAAGCATTAATACAGAATTTCTCCCAAATTAACGTCACACAACAAGCCGAAGAACCAGAAGCTCAGAGAACACCAAGTAAAATAAATGCAAAAAACCTCACTATTTCTAGGCATATCATAGTCAAACTTCAGAAATCCAAAGATAAAGAAAAAAATAAAGATATTCTCAGACAAAAAATTGAGGGAATTTGTTGCTAATAGGCCTGCCTTACAAGAAATGTTACAAGAAGTTCTTCAGATGGAAGAAAAATGATACAGGTCAGAAACAGATTTACATAAAGAAAGGAAGAATGTCAGAAAATAAAAGTAAAAACCTTCATTTTTCTTATTCTTAACTGATCTAGCAGATAAGATTGTTCAAAATAAAAATAGCAACAATGTACTTGGAGTTTTTGGTATTTGAATATATAGCCACATCCTTACATATAAGTGAAATGAATGACAGCAATGATGCAAAGGTGGACATGAGGAATTAGGATTATTTTGTTATTACTTGCACTACTCATGAAGTGGTATATTGTTATTTGAAAGTGAACTTGGGCCAGGTGTGGTGGCTCATGCCTGCAATTCCAGCATTTGATGGGACCAGAGTGGGAGGATTGCTTGAGCCCAGGAATTTGAGGCCAGCTTGGGCAACATAGTGAGACCCCCATCTTTACAAAAACACTAAAAACATTAGCCAGGTGTGGTGATGTGCACCTGTGGTCCTAGCTACTCAGAAGGCTGAGGTGGGAAGATAACTTGGGCCCAGGAGGTCAAGACTGCAATGTGCAGTGAGTCATAATTGTGCCACTGCAATCAAGCTTGGAGAAAGATATATGCTGTTAACACCAACTAATAGAAAATGGGAGTAGCTATACTCATTTCAGGCAGAGTAGATGTCAGAGCAAAGAAAATTATCAGAAATAATATGCAATACTACAAAATGATAAAGGGGTCAGTACTGCAAGATGACATAATAATCCTTAATGGGGATGCACCTAACAACAGAGTGTCAAAATATGTGAGACAAAAACTAATATAACTGCATTGAAAAATAGATAAATCCACTATTATAGGTGGAAACTTTAACATCTCTCTATCAGAAGTGGCTAGATCTAGAAAGCAGAAGTCAGTAAGGACAAAGCTGGACTCAACAGCATCATCAGTCAACTGGATATAACTGACACTTGTGAACTACTTCATCCAACAGCAGCAATTACACATTCTTCTTAAGCTAACATACAACATTCACTAAGATAGACCACATTCTGGGCCATAAAATGCATCTTAACAAATTTAAAGAATAGAAATCATACAATGTAAGCTCTCAAATTTCAGTGGAATTAAACTTCATATCAGTAACAGAAAGATAGGTGAAAAATCTAAAAATACTTGGAGATTAAACAGTAGACTTCCAAATAACACATGACTCAAGGAAGAAATATCAAGAAATTAAAAAAATATTTAAGTCAAATGAAAATGTAAATATAAGTTATCAACATTTGTGGCATGTAGGTAAAGCAGTGCTTAGAGGGAAATATCTAGCACTGAATACATATATTAAGAAAAAAGATTAAAAGTCAATAATCTAAGCTAAAAGATTATTTCTAGAAGTAAACTAGAAAAAGAAGAGCAAATTGTGTCCAAATAAACAGCAAAGAAATAATAAAAATTACCTGGGCACAGTGGCTCATGCCTGTAATCCCAGCTACTTGGGAGCCTGAGGTGGGAGGATTGCCTGAGGCCAGGAGTTTGAAACCAGTCTGGGTGACAGAGCAAGGTCCCACCTTTAAAAAGTAAAAAGAAAAGAAATAATAAAAATTAGAACAGAAATCAATGGAATTGAAAAGAAAATTAATAGAGAAAAATCAACAAACCAGGGGCTGTTTGTTTGAAAAGATCAATAAAATCAATAAGCCTCTAGCTGATAGAAAAAGGGAGAAGACACAAATTACTTATATCAGAAGTGAAAGGGGGGACATTACTAAAGATCCCATGGACATTCAAAGGATAATAAAGGAATACTGTGAATGACTCTGTCCCACAAATTTGATAACCTAGATGAAATGGGCCAATTCCTTGAAAGACATGATCTACTAAAACTCACAGAAGAAATAATAGACAATCTGAATTGGCCTGTAACTATTACATAAATTGAATCAATAATTAATAACTTTCAACACAAAGTACCAGGCCCAGATGAGTTCACTGGTGAATTCTACCAAACATTTAAGGAAAAAAATTATACAAAATTTTTAACAATCTCTTTCAAAAAATAGAAGAGGGAATACTTCCTAACACACTCTATGAGGTCAGCATTACATTAATACCAAAACCAAACAAAGACAGTACAAGAAAAAAAAACTACAGACCAATATCTCTCATTAACATAAATGTAAAAATCCTCAACAAAATATTAGCAAGTTAAATTGAACAATATGTAAGGAGAACCATAAACCAAAATCAAGTGGAAAGTATCACAAGTGTGCAAACTGGATTCAACTTTTGGAAAGCATTTAAAGAAAATCACATGTCCGGGTGCCGCAGCTCATGCCTGTAATCCCAGCACTTTGGGAGACCAAAGTGGGCAGATCACTTGAGGTCAGGAGTTCAAGACTAGAATGGCCAACATGGTAAAACCCCGTCTCTACTAAAAATACAAAAAAATTAATTGGGTGTGGTGGCACACACCTGTATTCCCAGCTACTTAGGAGACTGAGGTGAGAGAATTGCTTGAACCCAGGAGACAGAGGTTACAGTGAGCTAAGATCATGACACTGCCTTCCAGCCTGGGTAATGGAGTGAGACTCTGTCTCAAAAAAAAAAAAAGAAAAAGAAAAGAAAATCACATGATCATATCAATAGATGCAGAAAAAGCATTTGACAAAATCCAACACCCGCTCATGTGAAAAAACTCAGCAAACTAAGGATAGAAGAAAACTTCCTCAACTTGATAAAGAACATCTACAAAAATTTATAGCCAACATCATGCTTAATGGTGAGAAACCCAAAGTTTTCCTGCTAAGATCAGGAATAAGGTAAGGATAAGGATGTCCCCCTCACAATTGCTTTTCTTTTCTTTCTTTTTTTTTCTTTTCTTTTATTCTTTCTTTCTGTTTGTTTGTTTGATGGAGTCCCACTCTGTTGCCCAGGCTGGAGTGCAGTGGCTCAGTCTTGGCTAATTGCAACCTCTGCCTCCCGAGTTCAAGCAATTCTCTTGCCTCAGCCTCCGGAGTAGCTGGGACTACAGGTATGTGCCACCATGCATACCTGGCTAATTTTTGTATTTTTTGGTAGAGACAGGGTTTCACTATGTTGGTCAGGCAGGTCTCAAACTCCTGACCTCAAGTGATCCACCCGCCTCAGCCTCCCAAAGTGTTGGGATTACAGGCGTGAGCCACTGCACCCAGCACAACTGCTTTTCAACACCATACTGGAAGTCCTAGCTAATGTAATAAGAAAAGGAAAGGAAATAAAGGTATATGGATTGAGAAGGAAGAAGTAAAATTGTCTTTGTTTGGAGATGACATGATCATCTACGTAGAAAATCAAAAGAGTTGACAAAAATGACCCTCTTGGATCTAATAAACAATTATAGCAAGGCTGCAGGATACAAGGTAAATATACAAAAGTGAATCAGTTTTCTTTTTTTTTTTTTTTTGAGACAGAGTCTTGCTTTGTCACCCAGGCTGGAGTGCAGTGGTGTGATCTCAGCTCACTGCAACCTCCGTTTCCCAGGTTCAAGCGATTCTCCTGCCTCAGCCTCCCAAATAGCTGGGATTACAGGCACATGCCACCACGCCCAGCTAATTTTTGTATTTTTAGTAGAGACAGGGTTTCACCATATTGGCCAGTCTGGTCTTGAGCTCCTGACCTCAGGTGATCCCCTACCTTGGCCTCCCAAAGTGCTGGGATTACAGGCATGAGCCACCACACCCGGGCTCAGTTTTCTATATACTAGCAATAAACAATGGAATTTGAAATTAAAAACACATAATTAGCACCCCCAAAAATGAAATAGTTAGGTATAAATCTAGCAAAATATGTACAAAATCTATATGAGGGAAACTACAGAACTCTGATTAAAGATATCAAAAAGGAACTAAGTAAATGGAGACATATTCTGTATTCCTGGTTGGAAAGACCCAATATTGTTAAAATGTCAGTCCTTCCCAACTTGATCTGTAGATTCAACACAATCCCAAGCAAAATCCCAGAAGTTATCTTGTGGGTATGTCTTATAGAAAGAGACAAAAGACTCAGAATAGTCAACAAATATTGAAGGAGAACAAAGTTGGAGGACTGAAACTATCCAACTTCAGGACTTACTGTAAAGCTATATTAATCAAGACAGGGTGGGCTCGGTGCGGTGGCTCACGCCTGTAATCCCAGCACTTTGGGAGGCCGAGGCGGGTGGATCTTCTGAGGTCAGGAGTTTGAGACCAGCCTGACCAATATGGTGAAACCCCGTCTCTACTAAAAATACAAAAATTAGCCAGGCATGGTGGCAAGTGCCTATAATCCCAGTTACTCAGGAGGCTGAGGCAGGAGAATCACTTGAACCCAGGAGGCAGAGGTTGCAGTGAGCAGAGATTGTACCACTGCACTCCAGGCTGGGTGACAGGGCGAGACTCCTTCTCTTTTTTTTTTGAGACACACTCTCGCTCTGTTGCCGGGGCTGGAGTGCAGTGGTGCGATCTCAGTTCTCTGCAAGCTCTGCTTCCCAGGTCCACGCCATTCTCCCGCCTCAGCCTCCCGAGTAGTTGGGACTACAGGCGCCCACCACCACGCCCGGCTAATTTTTTGTATTTTTAGTAGAGATGGGGTTTCACCGTGTTAGCCAGGATAGTCTCGATCTCCTGACCTTGTGATCTGCCCGCCTCAGCCTCCCAAAGTACTGGGATTACAGGCGTGAGCCACTGCGCCCGGCCGAGACTCCTTCTCAAAAAAACAAAACAAAACAAAACAAAACAAAACAAAAGAAAGACAGACAATGTGGTATTGGCAAAGGAAGAGACAAATATATCAATAGAACAGAATAGAGAGCCTAGTAATAGTAATAGACCCACTTAAATACAGTCAAAGACAAAGCAGCAAAGTCAACATAATGGAACAAAGAAAGTATTTTCTACCAATGGTTCTGGAACAACTAGAAAACCACATGCCAAAAAAAAAAAAAAAAAAAACCACAACCCACCAAAAAAAAAAAAAAAAAAAACTCCTAGACACAGACTTACATCTTTCACAAAATTTAACTCAAAATTGACTAGAGACCTAAATGCAAAACTATAAAACTCCTAGAAGATAACGTGGGAGAAAATCTAGGTGACCTTGGGTTTGGCAATGACTTTTTAGATACAATACCAAAGGTACAATACCTGAAAGGAATAATTGATAAGCTGGGCCTCATTAAAATTAAAAGCTTCTGCTTTGCTAAAGATATTTCCAAAGGAACAAGAAAACAAGCCACACACTAGGAGAAAGTATTTGCAAGAGACACATCTGATAAAGGTATTCTCTGTATATTTTAAGTCAATACTTACTTAAATATTTTTTGTATTTTTAAATATTTACTTAAAATAGGCCAGGGGCAGTGTCTCACACCTGTAATCCCAGCACTTTGGGAGGCCAAGGTGGGTGGATCACTTGAGGTCAGGAGTTTGAGACCAGCCTGGCCAACATGGTGAAACCTCATCTCTACTAAAAATACAAAAATTACCCTGGTGTGGTTGTGCACGCCTGTAGTACCAGCTACTCAGGAGGCTGAGGCAGGAGAATTGCTTGAACCCTGGAGGCGGAGGTTGCAGTGAGCTGAGATTGCACCACTGCATTCCAGCCTGGGTGACAAAGGGAGACTCCATCTCAAAAAAAACCAAAAACAAATATTTACTATTTACTTAAAATATATAAAGAAGTCTTAAAATTTAACAATAAGAAAACAACCTCAATAAAAAATGGGTGAAAGATCTGAACTGAGACCTTATTAAAGAAGATATGCAGATGATAAGTAATCCTATGAAAAGGTGTTCAACATCATATGTCATTAGGGAATTGAAAATTAAAACCACACATCATTAGAATGGCCAAAATCCCAAACACTGACAGCACCAAATGCTGGTGAGAATGTGGAACAACAGGAACGCTCATTCTTTGCTGATAGGAATGCAAAGTGGTACAGTCACTTTGAAAGACAGTTTGTCGATTTCTTACAAAATGAAGCATGCTTTTACCATACATTCAATCGATCATGCTCCTTAGTATTTACCCAAATGAACTGAAAACTTATGCTTACACAAAAACCTGCAGACAGATGTTAATAGCAGGTTTATTTATAACTGCCAAAGCTGAAAAGCAACCAAGATGTCTTTTGGTAGGTGAATGGATAAGCTACGGTACATCCAGACAATGGAATACTATTCAGTACTAAAAAGAAATGAGCTATCAAGCCCAGAAAAGACAGGGAGGAAACATAAATGCATATTAGTACATTTAAAAAAAGCCAGTGTGAAAAGTTTACATACTGTACAAACTACAGTCATGGATTGCTTAATGACAGGGATACATTCTGAGAAATGCTTCATTAGGAGATTGTGCAAACATCGTAAGTTGTACTTACACAAACCTAGATGGTATAGACAATTGCTCCTAGCTACCAACCTGTATACATCATGTTACTGTACTGAATACTGTAGACCATTGCATTGTAACACAATGGTAAGTATGTGTGACTAGAATGTCATTAATCCAGCCCATGACTATATATGACATTCCTGAAAAAGCAAAACCATGGAGAAAGTGAATAGATGAGTGGTTGCCAAGAGAAGGATGAACAGGTGGAGCATGGAGGATTTTGAAGGCAGTGAAATTACCCTGTATGATACTATAATGGTGGATACATGTCATTATACATTTGTTCAAACCCACAGAATACACACGAATAATGAACCTTCATGTAAACTATGGACTTTGAATGATAATAATGTGTCTATGTAGATTCACTGTAACAAATGTACTACTTTGGTGTGGGATGTTTATAGTGGGGGAATTTGTGAATATGTGTGGACAGGGGATATATGCAAACTCTCTGTATCTCCAGCTTAATTTTGATGTGTCCCTAAAACTGCTCTAAAAACTAAAATGTATTAAATAAATAAGGGTGATATGTACATATGAGAGTACATATAACATTTTCCTATCCTCTCTCCCCATCTGTCCCCTCACTTTTCCCTCCTGGCCTGGCATCTCTTCCCTTGGTCCCATCCCTCACTTCTCACCACCTCCCCATCCTTTCTCTTGCTTTTCTGTTTCTCCTCCCACCTGCTCCCTCCCTTCATCCTCCTTGTTCCTACCACTTGCTTCTCCCCCACCTCCATCCTCTCTTTTGCTACTTCTGCTTCCACTTGCCCCCTTGCTTCTCCCCTCCCGCCCCTACCCACCTGCTTCTCACTCCCCCCATCCTCTTTAGTCTTCCCCTCATCCCCCCAACACCAGCCTCCTTCCTTCTTCCCCTGGTCCTGCCCCTTACTTTCCCAAGCCCTGCCATTGTTTCTACCTCCTTGCCCCTCGCTGCTGTCTGGCGGGGCCTCCACCCTTTATTTCCTTCAGTTTCAAATTCTTCAATCCTATCTTGTAAAAAAAAAAAAGAGAGAGAGAGAGTACACATGACATTAATTAGTCTTTAATATACCACCTGCTTTGAAATTGTCTTTTCTTCCTAATACATAGTGTTGAAATACTGGAACATTAAAAAATACAGAAATAGAATCTAATTTTGAGGCCCCCTTTGAGATCTTAAGGCTCAAACCTAAGGGTCTTGAAACTGACCCAATAGTCCCATAGACAGTTTTTTTTTGTATAAACATGGAAATTGACCCTTCTGGTCTTAAAGCGGAAACTTCGCATTATTTTATCTGAGTTCCTTCCTCAGGAAAGGGCCCCCAGGCCTCTCAAAAAGTATTGAAGAACTGAAACTCACCAGATCGTCTCATCCAGACAATGAGATGCCAGGCCTCTCATACATCATGAGTGCTTCCTTACCCCTCTGCTTTTCCTACCCATAGTTACATTTCTTCCCTGCTATGTAAGTCCCTAATTTTCGTTGGTTGGGGAGATGGATTTGAGACTGATCTCCCATCTGCTTGGCTGCAGCACCCGATTAAAGCCTTCTTCTTTGGCAATAATCATTTGGCAATAATTATTGTCTCAGTGGTTGGCTTTCTGTGTGGTGCACAGCAGGACCTAGAGGGAACCCCTGGTATTTTGGTAATGGTTTTCCAAACATCAGATGAAAACTCCAGGCCTCCTTTACCCTGTTTGGCTATTGGGGGGTTATTCATAATGCTAATTTCAAAAGTTGAAAGTGTTTTCCAATCAATTCTAGCTTTTCTAAGAACACATTATAAATCCAAATATTTCTCATTCTGGGAAAAGATAAAGTGTTAAAATTTATCCCACTTGATATATTCTTACTATATAGTCATGAAAATAAATGTATTAGAAATTTGTATTTTGACATTGTGTATTAGATAAATGTAATTGAAATGCTAGATCTTGAAAACGTAGTGGTTAGTGACAATACCAAGTTGTCCAGTATTATGTATAACATACCATTTTTGCATTTATTGATTTTTTTTAATGACATTATTTATGCAAGGTATAAAAACAACAGGAACTTATGGGGAAGGAAGAAGGAGAGTAGGTGGGATGCAAAGGGAAACATAAGGACTTCAACTCTGTTTTCAAGGTTTTCAAAATAATCTGTTATGAAATTTCTTCTGATTTTCTCAAAGGACCCTAAGCAGTAAAAGTTCCTTACCATTTGGTAGGGGAAGTAGGTGGAATCTTTTAGTTTAACTTGAACAGGATGGGCATTCTTTGCTCGTCCATATTGTCCTTCTGTTGCCCAGACTTCAGGATTAATTCCTTCCTCAAGCAGGGGAAAACAAATGGGTGTTCCTTCTCCTATGTTCAGGTGTCTAATGGCCCTTGCTTTTGCTAGAATGTCTCCCCCTAACAAGGGAGTGGGGCTTTCAGGCATAATTGGAAAAGCATGTGAAAAGAGTAAAGTTCTCCATTTACAACTTAGTGGCTGGGAGAAGTATCTAGTGACTGGCTGTCCTAGGACCCCTCGGATAGTGACAGATCTGGAGGACAGTTGTCCGGGACAGGAGAGTAAGACTGAGAAGGCCACGCCAGTGTCCAGGAGACAGTTAACCTCCTGGCCCTCAATGGTCAAGCATACCCAGGGCTCTGTGAGGGTGATGGCATGGGCTGGCGCTTGCCCTGGGCACCCTCAGTCCTGCTGCTGGATCATCTGGTTAGTGGCTTCTGACTCAGAGGACCTTCGTCCCCTAGGGCAGTGGGCCTTCCAGTGATTCCCTTGACATAAGGGGCATGGACGAGGGGGCGGCTTACTTCTACTTGGACAATTTTTTTAAAGTGCCCTTGTAGACCACACTGGAAGCAAGCCCTGTTAGGCATTTGATTTGCCCAGCTTTTCCCTTTCCCAGAGCCTCCAAAGTCTGCTTGCCTGAGGGCCATGACTAAAGCGATGGCCTTTTCTTTATCCCGTTTGTCCCGTTCCGCCTGCTCCTCCTGATCTCTATTATAAAAAACCAAGGTTGCCAAGTTCAATAGGGTTTCTAAGTTTTGCTCCGGGCCTAAGGTGGACTTTTGAAGTTTTTTTCCCAATGTCTGCAGCTGACTGAGTGATAAACTTATCCTTTAGGATTAGTTGGCCTTCAATAGAGTCAGGTGACAGGGAGATATGCTTCCTCAATGCCTCCCTTAGTCTCTCCAGAAAGGCAGTAGGATTTTCTTCCTTTCCCTGTGTTATAATGGACATCATTGAATAATTTGTAGGCTTAGGCCCAACAAGGACTCCAAAAAATTGTTAAGGACCTAAAATCGCAAGGCCTAGTAAAACCATGCAATAGCCCCTGCAATACTCCAATTTTAGTAGTACAGAAACCCAACGGACAGTGAAGGTTAGTGCAAGATCTCAGGATTATCAGTGAGGCCGTTGTCCCTCTATACCCAGCTGTCCCTAATCGTTATACTCTGCTCTCCCAAATACCAGAGGAAGCAGAGTGGTTTACAGTCCTGGACCTTAAGGATGCCTTTTTCTGCATCCCTGTACATCCTGACTCTCAATTCTTGTTTGCCTTTGAAGATCCTTCAAACCCAACGTCTCAACTCACCTGGACTGTTTTACCCCAAGGATTCAGGGATATCCCCCATCTATGTGGCCAAGAATTAGCCCAAGACTTGAGCCAGTTTTCGTACCTGGACACTCTTGTCCTTCGGTTCATGGATGATTTACTTTTAGCCGCCTGTTCAGAAACCTTGTGCCATCAAGCCAGCCAAGCACTCTTCAATTTCCTCGCCACCTGTGGCTACAGGTTTCCAAACCAAAGGCTCAGCTCTGCTCACAACAGGTTAAATACTTACAGCTAAAATTATCCAAAGGCACCAGGGCCCTCAGTGAGGAACGTATCCAGCCTATACTGGCTTATCCTCATCCCAAAACCCTACTAACTGTTGGATGTGCCTCCCCCTGCACTTCAGGCCATACATTTCAATCCCTGTACCTGAACAATGGAACAACTCCAGCACAAAAATAAACACTACTTCCGTTTTAGTAGGACCTCTTGTTTCCAATCTGGAAATAACCCATACCTCAAACCTCATCTCTATAAAATTTAGCAATACTATAGATAGAACCAACTCCCAATGCATAAGGTGGGTAACTCCTCCCACAGGAATAGTCTGCTTATCCTCAGGAATATTTTTTGTCTGTGGTACCTCAGCCTATCGTTTGAATGGCTCTTCAGAATCTATGTGCTTCCTCTCATTCTTAGTGCCCGCATGACCATCTACACTGAACAAGATTTATACAATCATGTTGCACCTAAGCCCTGCAACAAAAGAGTGCCCATTCTTCCTTTTGTTATCGGAGCAGGAGTGCTAGGCGGACTAGGTACTGGCATTGGTGGTACCACAACCTCTACTCAGTTCTACTACAAACTATCTCAAGAACTAAATGATGACATGGAACGGGTCACCAATTCCCTGGTCACCTTGCAAGATCAACTTAACTCCCTAGCAGCAGTAGTCCTTCAAAATCAAAGAGCTTTAGACTTGCTAACTGCCAAAAGAGAGGGAACCTGTTTATTTTTAGGGGAAGAATGCTGTTATTATGTTAATCAATCCGGAATCGTCACCGAGAGAAAGTTAACGAAATTCGAGATCGAATACAATGTAGAGCAGAGGAGCTTCAAAACACTGGACCTGGGGCCTCCTCAGCCGATGGATGCCCTGGATTCTCCCCTTCTTAGGACCTCTAGCAGCTATAATATTGCTACTCCTCTTTGGACCGTGTGTCTTTAACCTCCTTGTTAAGTTTGTCTCTTCCAGAATCGAAGCTGTGCAACTACAAATGGTTCTTCAAATGGAGCTCCAGATGCAGTCCACGACTAAGATCTACTGCGGACCCCTGGACCGGCCTGCTAGCCCATGCTCCGATGTTAATGACATCGAAGGCACCCCTCCCAAGGAAATCTCAACTGCACAGCCCCTACTATGCCCCAATTCAGCAGGAAGCAGTTAGAGCAGTCGTTGGCCAACCTCCCCAACAGCACTTGGGTTTTCCTGTTGAGAGGGGGAACTGAGAGACAGGACTAGCTGGATTTCCTAGGCCGACTAAGAATCCCTAGCCTAGCTCACACCCAACCAATCAGATAGTAAAGGGAGCTCACTAAAATGCGAATTAGGCAAAAACAGTAGGTAAAGAAATAGCCAATCATCTGTTGCCTGAGAGCATGGCGGGAGGGACAATGATTGGGATATAAACCCAGGCATTCGAGCCGGCAACGGCTACCCTCTTTGGGTCCCCTCCCTTTGTATGGGAGCTCTGTTTTCACTCTATTAAATCTTGCAACTGAAAAAAAAAAAATTCCTTACCATTTCCTGACCATTTAGTAAGGTAATATTTTCATCTGACTTTAAGTTGCATTTCCATTTCATCTGACTTTAGATTGCATGCCCTAATTATGGAATTCTGAAATTTGTGAATTTAATCTTTTCACTCTATCCTTACCATTGCGATTTTATGGGAGGTAGCCAGAAAGAGTTTATTCAGAGTTCATCAGACCTAGGGTTAAATCCTAGTTGTATCATTTGTTAGCTGTTTGGTGTTAAGCAAATTATTTAGTTCTGTTCTTTTGTCTGCAAAATGGTGGTAGCAAAAACATTCCTCTCTGGTTGGTGTGAGGTAATATGTAATAGTGGTATGGAAGTGCTGGGAAGGGAAGAGCATGGACCCTTTAAAGGATATGGAATGGGCGTGGGGGAAGGGAAGTGCTAGGTAGAGGAGGGCTTCGTCCCTGGCTAGGGCTCCACCCCCATGGACCTAAGTGAGGACAGGCATTTCCTGCCCAAATGTTGCATTTCCCAAGACCACCCTGGCCTGCCACAACCCCATCCTGTGCCTATAAAAACTCCCGAGACCCTAGCAGGCAGACACAGGCGGCAGGATATCAAGAGGAGCACGTCAGTGGAAGAAGACACAAGTGGCTGGATGGTGAAAAGATGTCAAGGGGAGCATGCTGGCAGAAGAGCACATCAATAGATGTTGGCATGCCGATAGGCCATCGACAGGCGGGATGAGAAGGAGGTTTGCCTGGGGCAGTTGGAGGAGATCTGGGGCTGCCCAGCGGCCAGACTCCAGGGGAAAACCATCTCCCTTCTGGCTCCCCCATCAGCTGAGAGCTACTTCCATTCAATAAAACCTTGCACTCATTCTCCAAGCCCACGTGTGATCCAATTCATCCAGTACACCAAGGCAAGAACCCAGGATACAGAAAGCCCTCTGTCCTTGAGACAAGTTAGAGGGTCTAATTGAGCCGGTTAACACAAGCCGCCTATAGGTGGCAAAACTAAAAGAGCACCCTGTAACACACACCCACTGGGGCTTCAGCTGTAAACATTCACTGCTGGACACTGCCTTGAGGTTGGAGCCCCACAGCCTGCCCGTCTGTATGCTCCCCTAGAAGTTTGTGCAGTGGTGCACTGAAGAAGCAAGCCACACTCCCATCGCACGCCCTGCAAGGGGGACAAGGGAATTCCCATTTCAACAGTGGCTGGCATAAAGCTAGTACTCAATAAATGCTAGCTTCTTTAAGACTTAAATCATATTCTTCTTCAGTCTTTGAACTTTTTCAGGTAAATGAATGACTGAATTCCAAGAGAAATATATAGTCTGCAATGCAGTAGGTACACTGAGGCAGCTGGCTAAAAATTTTACAGGGAAATTTAAGTGATATGATAAAATATAAATTGCAGTTCATGGATAAGTATATTTTAGGATTAAACAAAAAATAAGTGAATATTTCCAAACACACCATTGAAGAGGAAGCTTACACATTGTAAAATGTGTGATGTAAGGAATTAAGTGGTTTCTACTAGCTTCAAAATACCATCATTAACTGATTTAGTTATGTCATATGACATAACTGACATATGCATTAACTGATTTAGTCATGTCATATGAAACATCACATAGATTACCTGTATTAACCATGAAATAAATGTTATGATCCAGAGTTACTAAGAATGAAATGGTTGGGGGGAAAGGTGGGAAACTGCATAAGTTATTAATAAATATGAAGGTGTGTTGTGGTTTTGAATGTAATAGCAGCTGTGGTTAATATGTGATCATATTCTAAAGTAATTAGGCAATGGTTAAATAAGCCCCTTAACAAATTACAATCAATCAGAACATTCAGGAGAGAAGTCTTGTTTTTTTGACTACTTTAGATTCTGAGGCCTCTTGGAGCAGAAAGTGGCAAGTCAAATATCTCTCGAAGTAGTCAAATATTTCTTAAGTGTGGTTTGTCTCTCCAAGAAGATATCATGTGGATATCATGTGTCTCCAGAGACAACACTCTGAAAAGGACATCATTTATGTATGATTCCAGTCAGAAATGCATAACCTGAATCTAATCAACAGACAACATCAGCCAAACACACAATAAGAGATGGTGCATAAAAGAATTGGCTTTTATTCTTTAAAATATGTCAATGTCATAAAGAACAAAGATAGACTGAGACACGGTTCCAGACTGAAGGAGAAAAAAGGCATGTTATTGTAAATATAAGATGTGATCCTGGATTGAATCCTGTACGGGAAAAAAAAGTAGCTATAAAAGGCATTATTGAGACAATCAATAAAATTGGAATATGTGTTATATATTAGATATAGGTATTTTATTAATGTTAAATTCACTGAATTTAATAACTGAACAGTGGTTATGTAAAGAGAATATCCTTATTCTTAGGAAATATACACTGAAGTTTTAAAGGCTATAGAGATGATATGCAACCTACTCTCAAATAATTTAGGAAAACATTTTTATAGACAGAGACAAACATTGATAAAGCAAATATAGCAAAATATTTAAAATTGATGAATCTTAGTAAAGCATATGTGAAAAATTTGGGGTTGTTTTTCCAACTTTTCTGTAAATTTGAGATTATATCAAAATTAAAAGTTAATTTTAAAAAGTATCCATGAATCACCTGAATCAGAATACTGGAGTATTTGCTACAGATGCAGATTCATGGGACCTGCCACTGACTACTGAATCAGAAATTCAGGGAGTGTGGACAGGAGAGGTTAGAGCCTGGAAATTTTCATTTACAAAAACATTCTTGGTGATTTTAATGTATACTAAAGTTTGAAAAACATTGGGAGTGTACTTCAATTAAAAATCAGTTGTGGTGTGGTGGCTCACACCTGTAATCCCAGCACTTTGGGAGGCTGAGGTGGGCAGATCACGTGAGGTCAGGAGTTCAAGACCAGCCTACCCAATATGGTGAAACACCATCTCTACTGAAAATACAAAAATTAGCTGGGTGTGGTGACACACACCTGCAGTCCCAGCTACTTGGGAAGTTGAGGCAAGAGAATTGCTTGAACGCGGGAGGCGGAGGCTTCAGTGAGCTGAGATTGCACCACTGCACTCCAGCCTGGGCAACACAGCGAGATTCTGTCTCAAAAAAAAAAAAATCAGTTATAATGTGGCTGGGTACAGTGGCTGACGCCTGTAATCCCTGCACTTTGGGAGGCCGAGGAGGGAGGATCCCTTGAGCCCAGAAGTTCAAGACCAGCCTGGGCAACACAGAGAGACCCTGTCTCAGAAACAAACGAAAGAATCATAATTATAATGCTTTCACTGGCCAATGCATTTTCTTTTCTTTTTGAAAAAGATTTTAAAACTTGAAACCTTTTAAACTTTATTCCATTTCTTATCTTTTAAATTTTTTATCTTAAAAAGAAAAAAAAATTTTCTAATTGTCCACCTGCCCTCCTTCAAGCCAATGCATTTTCTTAGCTTAATCAACTAAATGCCTTGAAGAATACTACTACTAGCTAAAATGTATCATGTGTTTATCATGTGGTAAGAACGATATATATTTTATTCAATTCTTGCAATAATTCCTATGAATTGCTATAATTATACTCCTTACAGTTAAGGAAATGGGATTACATACATTGCCAAGGTCATATAGCTATTAAGGGATAAAGCCAGGATTGGAACCCAAGGACAATCTGACTCTAGGGCCATACTTTTGCCACTCTGCTTTTGAGCCTTGCTAGGAAACCACATGGTAAGGTTATTGGCTTTGGCTATCATAAAATTGACATGTTATTTATCTCTTTTAAAGTCAGCCTTTAATTGCATATTAAGGAAGGAAGGAGTGGTGCAGCTAATACAATGAACATTATGATAGGCATAAAATTCCCCCTGCTAATCTTCCATCCTGGTGACAAAGCCTTGGCTCTGTGACTAAGATAAGGCTATACAGCCTGTTGTTTCTTCCTGAGCACTACTATGATTTTCCCATTGCAGAACCTTAGATACTCTTCAGCCTGCAGGTACCAAGCTGGGTGAGATATGGGTATACCTTCTTTAGAGATCCACCCTTGGCACTGGAGGATTTCTTCAATGAGGTAGAATGTCATCACAGTTTTAAACTAGGAAAGGAATTGTCCCCGATGAAACCCAGGAAGTGACTTGACTAAAATAAAAAGTAAGCATTGCCCAGGGTACAGCTCAGCCTCTTTTGGTACCTCCATTCTTCTGAGGTGCAGTTCTCTGCAACAGTCATTCCACAGAGAAAAGCCTGAGGTAGCTCACTGGACTTTCAACAATAAGCCTGTGAATTGAGTTGGGTGAGCATTAGTCTCACTGATAATATGGATAGATTTGGATTGAAAACCAGCCTCCCAATTCCACAAGCCAAGCTCTTCCATAAACCACAATGCCTCCTGAATAAAAGAGATCAATACTGAAAGTTTGTTGGAATCATGACCTCATGTGCTTTCATGTGTTTGTGCAGATTGATAAGTGCAACCCTTGCAGTAAAAAGTAAAAACGTGTTTTTTCAGCGGTGGCCAGCTGAAATGTAATATATAAAGAGTTAGTAATAATTTTTGTTGAGAGATTCATCTTTTCTAATGAGAAAAATGAAAAGCTTTCGGCAAAAAACACACCACTATTTTGAAAAGATTGATGAAGCACCCCCAGCTTAGCCCCACGACAGCACAGTTGTTGTAATCCTCCATAAGAACCTTCAGGTTGCAGGTGACATAATCTTATATAAAAAATCCTAAGAAATCCACTTAAAAACCATGAGCACTAATAAATGAGTTCAGCAAAGTTGAAGGATACAAGATTAATATACATAAATTAATTATATTTCCATATGCTTGCTATGAAAACTGTGAAAATGAAATTAGGAAACCAATTCTATATACAACAGCATCAAGAAGACTAAAATACTTAGGAATAAATTTAATAAAAGAAGTATAAAACCTGTACTCTGAAAACTACAAAATATTGTTAAAGAAGACAAAAGAATGAAAAGACTTAATATTGTTAAGATGGCAATACTCCCCAGGGCACTATAGATATAACACAATCCTTATCATAATTCCATCTGGCCTCTACAGAAATCAACAAGCTGATCCTAAAATTAATATGGTAATTCAAGGGACCCAGAATAGCTAAACAATCTTGAAGAAGAAGAATAAATTTGGAGGACTCACACATCCTGATTTAAAACTTACTATGAAGCTACAGTAATCAAAACAGTATGGTACTGGCATAAGGAGAGACAGTCATACAGATTAACGGATAGAAGTGAGAGACCCGGGCCGGGCACGGTGGCTCACGCCTGTAATCCCAGCACTTTGGGAGGCCGAGGCGGGCGGATCACGAGGTCAGGAGATCGAGACCATCCCGGCTAAAACGGTGAAACCCCGTCTCTACTAAAAATACAAAAAATTAGCCGGGCATAGTGGCGGGCGCCTGTAGTCCCAGCTACTTGGGAGGCTGAGGCAGGAGAATGGCGTGAACCCGGGAGGCAGAGCTTGCAGTGAGCCGAGACTGCGCCACTGCACTCCAGCCTGGGCGACAGAGCGAGACTCCGTCTCAAAAAAAAAAAAAAAAAAAAAAAAAAAGAAGTGAGAGACCAGAAATAAGCCCTCACATCTATGGTCAATGAATTTTGACAAGGGTTTTAAGACCATCCAATGGAGAAAAGGTAGTCTTTTTAACAAGTGGTACTGGGAAAACTAAATACCCATATGCAAAAGAATAAAGTTGGATACCTCCCAACCTTGTACCATATATAAAAATTTATTCAAAATGTAGGACTAAAACTTAAAGTCTTAGAAAAAGTAGGTATAAATCTTTGTGATCTTGAATTAAGCAATGGCTTCCTAGATATGACACCAAAAGCACAAACAACAACAACAAAATATAAATTGGACATCATTAAAATTAGTTTTGTGCTTTACCCCCAAAAAGGTGAAAAGAAGCCAGGAGTGATGGCTCACGCCTGTAATCCCAGCATTTTGGGAGGCCAAGATTAGAGGGTCACTTGAGTCCAGGAGTTCAAAACCAGCCTGAGTAACATAGCAAGAACTCGTCTCTACCAAAAAAATAAAAAATAAAAAAAATAGGTAGCCTGGTGTGGTGGTGTGCACTTGTGGTCTTAGCTACTCAGGAGGCTGAGGTAGGAGGATAGCTTGAGCCCAGGAGGTTGAGGTTGCACTGAGCTGTGATTGTGCCACTGCACTCCAGCCTGAGTGACAGAGCAAGACCTTGTCAAAAAAAAAAAAAAAAAAAAAAAAAAGAAAGAAAGAAAGAAAAGAATGTGAAAACAACGTGAAAAGAAAATCTGCAGAATGGGAGAAAATATTTGCCATATATACCTGATAAAGAAGTCGCATTTAGAATATATAAGATATTACAACTCAACAATAAAAAGATAATCCAATTAAAACAAAGCATCTCAATAGAGATTTCTCCAAATAAAATATACAAGGCCATGCGCGGTGGCTTACGCCTGTAATCCCAGCACTTTGGGAGGCTGAGATGGGCAGATCATGAGGTCAGGAGTTCGACACCAGCCTGGCCAACATAGTGAAACCCTGTCTCTACTGGAAATACAAAAATTAGCCGGGCTTGGTGGTATGCACCTGTAGTCCCAGCTACTCAGGAGGCTGAGGCAGGAGAATCTCTTGAACTCAGGAGGTGGAGGTTGTGGTGAGCTGAGATCATGCCACTACACTCCAGCCTGGGCAACAGAGTGAGACTCTATCTCAAAAAAAAAAAAAAAAAAAAAGTAATGCAAAATGGGGATATATTAGGCCATTTTTACATTGCTATAAATAAATATCTGAGACTAGGTAATTTATAAAGAGAAGTTTAATTGGCTCACGTTTCTAAAGGCTTTAAGAAAGCACGGTGCTGGCATCTGCTTGGCTTCTAGGGAAGCCTTGGGAAGCCTACAATCATGGTGAGGGCAAAAGGGGAGCAGGCACGTCACATGGCAAAAGCAGGAGCAGGCAAGGTGGGGGAGGGTGCCACACACTTTTAAAGACCCGATCTCTCGTGAACACAGTGTGAGAGTTCACTTATCACCAAGAAGATGGCCCAAGCCATTCATAAGAGATCCACCCCAATGATCCAAACACCTCCCATGAGGCCCCCCCCTCCCAATACTGGGGATTACCTCTCAACACGAAATTTGGGTGGGGACAAATATCCAAACTCTTTTTTTTTTTTTTTTTTTTGAGACAGAGTCTTGCTCTGTTGCCCAGGCTGGAGTGCAGTGGCGCCATCTCAGCTCACTGCAACCTTCACCTCCCAGGTTCAAGCGATTCTGCTCCGGCCTCCCAAGGTGCTGGGATTACAGGCATGAGCCATCGTGCCCTGCCAAACTCTATCAGAGGAAACTCCTAGTAACTCTTTTGCTTAATGTGTCTTAAGATGCATGAATTACAACTTACCTAGTTGATCAAAAGCTCATAAAGATGGCTGAAAATAGCTTTCCAGTTGGGGTCAGAAGACAAGTCCTTTTGTTGAGACTGAGGGGAGAAAATTTAGATTGAAGTTTAAAGTAAAGAAGACATTGTATTTGAAATGAGACAGGACAGGCGCCGTGGCTCACGCCTGTAATCCCAGCACTTTGGGAGACGGAAGCGGGTGGATCACGAGGTCAGGAGATCGATACTATCCTGGTTAATACCGTGAAACCCCGTCTCTACTAAAAAAAAAAAAATACAAAAAAATTAGCCGGGCGTGGTGGCCGGCGCCTGTAGTCCCAACTACGCGGGGAGGCTGAGGTAGGAGAATGGCGTGAACCCGGGAGGCGGAGCTTGCAGTGAGCGGAGATGCGCCACTGCACTCCAGCCTGGGCGACAGATTGAGACTCCGTCTCAAAAAAAAAAAAAAAATAAAATAAAAAAGAAAAAGAGACAAATGGGATGGGAAGCTGATCAAGGAGCTATAAAAGGCTTTCCAAGTGACTCAGGGCCTAATCGAGTTTGGAAGCCATGTTGTATTGTGTTGCCCTTCTGTACAGAGTTGTGTGATTTTTTTCAACTGAGCCCAACATCCTGTATATGAGTATGACAGAAAAAGAAAATGGATTCAAGGCCATCCCTCGTATTGTGGGGCAGGTGTAATATAAAGACTAGGGGAGGCAGGGTGCGGTGGCTCACGCCTCTAATCCCAGCACTTTGGGAGGCTGAGGTGGGTGGATCACTTGAGATCAGGAGTTTGAGATCAGCCTGGCCAATATGTTGAAACCCCATCTCTACTAGAAATACAAAAAATTAGCCGGGTGTGGTGGCGTGTGCCTGTAATGCCAGCTACTCAGGAGGCTGAGGCAGGAGAATCTCTTGAACCCAGGAGGCAGAGGTTGCAGTGAGCCAAGATCACACCACTGCACTCCAGCCTGGGCAACAGAACAAGACTCTGTCTCAAAAAAAATAGACTAGGGAACAGGTAAGTTGAAGGAAATAATGAGTTATTAAAGTGACAAGTGAGGTAATAAAAGCCCAGAGGAGAGATAGGGAGTGGGAGAAAGAAGAGTGGGGTGTTTCAAGGTAGCAGCAGTGAGGGAGTGAGAAATAGAAGACCAGGAGGTTGTGGTCAGAGGCCTAAATAATGGAGCTTAAGATGTCATAATCAAAGCAGTTCTGGGTGGTGACCAGGTCCAAGGTGACCCTGAGAGTGGATGCCATATAATTCCTAAATCTGTTTCTTTGGAGCCCCTAGATGATGGGGCAGCCTTTTAGCTTTTTGACTTAATCAATTATGCCAGAGCTGGAGGCAGGATTTATCACTACCTTTTAAAAGTAGAGAGAAACATATCTGCCGTTGCCATATATGCATTTGACTCCCAAGTAATCTAAATGTATACTGGTCACAATCATAAGATTTTCAGAATTATTTCATTCACATTATTTTTCATGTATTTTACAATAAAGTTAATTCAAGCTAAAGTGACTAAATGCTGCAGGATGAAATTGGGCTCTTTTATAGTAATACATAATAAAATTAAGATGTGCTAATTATTATGTTGCAAAGAAAACATATATGTACTTCATTGATGTAAAAAGTACAAAGAAGTGCTCCTGTGGGCTTATTACAGATTAAATATATTAAATTAAATATAGATTAAATAGATTAAATATAAACGGAGAAAAAGGAAGCAAAAAAGGCATTTAAGTGTAAATTTTTATTCCACATAAAGCATTTTCATTATTGTTTGCTTGGCTCAACTTCTTAATGGTAAAGCCACCAATTAGTTTTATGGTGCAAAAGAGTGCTGCAATTAAAAAAGTATTCAAAAGGTCTTCCAAAAGTTCATGAAAAATTCACATTATGAAAAACTATGCATGAATTTCAAATTTTTTTTTCACTGAAACAAACTCATACTAACTTGTTTGTGTCTGAACAGGATCTAGTTTGAGGCACTAAGAAGGCTATCAGTTTGATTTTCTCAAAATCCCAGTGGAAAAAAATGAAAAAAAAAATCAGTTCGAAAAGAGCCCCTATTGGAACAAATTCTGCTAAAATGAAGCAAAAAGAAACATCAAATTTATGGTGAAGCTTGGGTGAAGAATGTTGAAATCACTGATGCCTTATCAAAAGTTTATGGTGACAGTGCCCCCAAAAAAACAGCAGTTTACAAGTGGATAGCCCCAAAAAAACAGCAGTTTACAAGTGGATAACTTGTGTTATTAATAAGAAGGGTGAGACGATGTTGAAGATAAAGCCCACAGTGGCAGACCATCCATGTCAATTTTCAAGGAAAAAATAATCTTGTTCAAGCTGTAATTGAAAAGGACCAATGATTAACAGCACAAACAATAGCCAACACCATAGACATCGCAATTGGTTTGGCTTACATAATTCTGACTGAAAAATTAAAGTTGGCCAAGGCAAGTGGATCACGTGAGGTCAGGAGTTTGAGACCAGCCTGATCAGTATGGTGAAACTCCGTCTCTACTAAAAATACAAAAATTAGCCGGGCGTGGTGGTATGTGCCTGTAGTCCCAGCTACTGGGGAGGCTGAGACAGGAGAATTGCTTGAACTTGGGAGGCAGAGGTTGCAGTGAGCCGAGATCACACCACTGTACTACAGTCTGGGCAACAGAGCAAGACTCCGTCTCAAAAAAAAAATAAAGTTGAGCAAACTTGCCACTCAATGGGTGCCAGAACTGTTGTGCTGAGAACAGTTGCAGACAAGAGCAGAGCTTTCAATGGAAATTTTAAATAAGTGGGATCAATATCCTGAAGGATTTCTTTGAAGAATTGTAACCGGAGATGAAACACAGCTTTACTAGTATGACCTTGAAGACAAAGCACAATCAAAGCAATGGCTGCTAAGAGGTTGAAGTGGTCCAGTCAAGGCAAGAGCAGACTGGTCAAGAGTAAAGGTCAGGCCAGGCATGGTGGCTCACGCCTGTAATCCCAGCACTTTGGGAGGCTGAGGCGGGTGGATCATGAGGTCAGGAGTTCAAGACCAGCCTGGCCAAGATGGTGAAACCCCTGTCTCTACCAAAAAAAAAAAAAAAAAAAAATTAGCCAGGCGTGTTGGTGGGCGCCTGTAATCCCAGCTACTCAGGAGGTTGAGGCAGAGAATTGCTTGAACCCTGGAGGCGGAGGTTGCAGTGAGCCGAGATCGCACCACTGCACTCCAGCCTGGGTGACAGAGTGAGACTCCATCTGAAAAAAAAAAAAAAAAAAAAAAAAAAAGAGTAAAGGTCATGGCAACAGTTTCCTGGGATCCTCAATGCATTTTGCTTGTTGACTTCCTGGGGGGCCAAAAGAATGACAACATTTATTTATTATGAGAATGTTTAGAGATAGCTAAAGCTTTAGTAGAAAAATGCCTGGGAAAGCTTCACCAGAGAGTACTTCTCCACCACAACAATGCCTCCGCTCATTCCTCTCATCAAACATGGGCAATTTTGTGAGAGTTTTGACGGGAAATCTTTTTTTTTTTTTTTTTTTTGAGATGGAGTTTCGCTCTTGTTGCCCAGGCTGGAGTGCAATGGCATGATCTCGGCTCAGCGCAAACTCCACCTCCCAGGTTCAAGCAATTCTCCTGCCTCAGCCCCTGAGTAGCTGGGATTACAGGCATGCACCACCATGCCTGGCTAATTTTGTATTTTTAGTAGAGACGGGGTTTCTCCATGTTGAGGCTGGTCTCAAACTCCTGACCTCCAGGTGATCTGCCTGCCTCAGCCTCCCAAAGTGCTGGGATTACAGGCGTGAGCCACCACACCCGGCCTTGATGGGAAATCTTTAGACATCCACCTTACAGTCCTGATTTGGCTCCTTCTGACTTGTTTTTGTTTCCTAATCTTTAACAATCTTAGGGCACCCATTTTCTTCAGTTAGTAAAGTAAAAAGACTGCATTGACATGGTTAAGTTCCCAGGACCCTCAGTTCTTTAGAGATGGACAAAATGGCTGGCATCATCACTGATAAAAGTGTCTTGAATGTGATGGAGCTTACGTTGAGAAATAAAGTTTATATTTTTTATTTTTATCTTTTAATTCCATTTTTCTAAGAACTTTTTGCAGTCCACTCATATACACTGTTATACCTATTAAAAAGGTGAAAAATATTCAAAGAATGTTAAGGTTATTACAAAACCACAATGACAACCATAAGTAAACAATAATTTCCTTCACTATGTTTAGTGCATGAGTTTAGAAATCTGATAGAACCAATGAATATTTGCAAGTACAGCCAGAAGCACAGTTCTCATACCAATAAACCTAGATAAGTAGCTCATGGAAACGACTGGAACACTTACTAGCAGGAGGAAAAAACATTTTAGAGCATATCTAGGTGAAAGATTTTCTTGGCTTCATTTATAGCGAATCTGTGTGGGGTTAGGTATGGTTGTTAGGCTACAAAGAAGATCAATTTCCTTGGGGAACACAGTGATCTGAGGTGGTTGAAATGCCTAAAGGCAGCAAGTTAAAGAGACATAACTTTTCTTTATAGCCTTTGATTTCGGAAACCAAGGCTCAGACCAGATAGTTTATTTGAGCATACCTCGTTTTATTGCACTTCACTTTATTGTGCTTTGCAGATATTGTGCTTTTTACAAATTGAAGATTTGTGGCCACGCTGTGTTGAGCAAGTCTTTACAAATTGAAGGTTTGTGGCAACGCTGTGTTAAGCAAGTCTAACAGTGCCATTTTTTCCAACAGCATGTGCTCACTTCTTGTCTCTGTGTCACATTTTGGGAATCCTCACAATATTTTCAACCTTTTCATTATTATTATATCTGTAATGGTGATCTGTGATCAGTGATCTTCGATGTTACTATTGTAATTGTTTTGGAGTTCCAAGAACCTTGCTCATAGAAGGTGGGTGAACTTAATCGATAAATGTGTGTGTTCTGTTCTTTCCACCAACTGGCCATTCCCATCTTTCTTCCTCTCCTTGAGCCTCCCTATTCCTTGAGGCACAACAAAATTGAAATTAGGCCAATTAACCTACAATGGCCTCTAAGTGAAAGTGAAAGGAAGAGTTGCATTTTTCACTTTAAATCAAAAGCTGGACATAATGAAGCTTAGTGAGGAAGGCAGGTTGAAAGCCAAGACAGGCCAAAAACTAGGCCTTTTTCACCAGTTACCCAGGTTGTGACTGCAAAGAAAAAGTTATTGAAGGAAATTAAAAGTGCTACTGTAGTAAACACATGAATAAGAAAGCAAAACAGGCTTACTGCAGATAGGGAGAAAGTTTGTGGTCTAGATAGATCAAATCAGCCACAACATTTACTTAAGCTAAAGTCTAATCCAGAGCAAGGCCCTAACTCTTTAATTTGATGAAGGCTGAGACAGGTGAGGAAGCTGCAAAAGAAAAGTTGAAAGCTAGCAGAGGTTGGTTCATGAGGTTTAAGGAAAGAAGCCATTTCCATAACATAAAGTGCAAAGTGAAGCAGCAAGTGCTGATGTAGAAACTGTAGCAAGTTATCCAGAAGATCTAGCTAAGATGATTGATGAAGGGGGCTACACTACACCCTAGATTTTCAATGTCGACAGAATAGATTTATATTGGGAGGAGATGCCATCTAGAACTTTCACAGCTAGAGAGAAGTCAATGCCTGACTTCAAAGCTTCAAAGGATGACTAAGGCTCTTGTTAGGGACTAATGTAACTGATGACTGGGCAGAAGCCAATGCTCATTTACCATTCTGAAAATTCTAGCCCTTAAGAATTACACTAAATTGACTCTTTCTGTGCTCTATCAATGGGACAACAAAGCGTGGATGACAGTGCATGTATTTATAGCATAGCTTACTAAATATTTTAAGCCCACTGTTGAGACTTAACTGCTCAGAAAAAAAAATCATTTCAAAATATTACTGTTCATTGACAATGCACCTGATCATCCAAGAGCTCTGATGGAGCTCTTGTTCCATCAGATGGAGTTTCTACGTCAGCACTTGCTGCTTCACTTTGCACTTTATGTTATGGAAATGGCTTCTTTCCTTAAGAAGATTAATGTTGTTTTCTTGCCTGCTAACAAAGTATCCATTCTGCAGCCCATGGATCAAGGAGTAATTTTGACTTTCAGTTTCTATTACTGAAGATAAATATATTTCATAAGGCTATATCTACTATGGATAGTGATTCCTCTGATGGATTAGGGAAAAGTAAATCGAAAATCTTCTGGGACGGATTCACCATTCTACATGCCATTAAGAATGTGATTCATGGGAGGAGGTCAAAATATCCACATTAGCAAGAGTTTGGAAGAAGTTGATTCCAACCCTCATGGATGACTTTGAGGGATTTAAATCTTCAATGGAGGAAGTCATTGCAGATATGGTAGAAATAGCAAGAGAACTAGAATGAAAAGTGGAGCCTGAAGATGTGACTTAATTGTCACAATCTCATGATCAAACTTGATTGGATGAGGAATTGCTTCTTATGGATGAGCAAAGAAAGTAATTGTTTGAGATGAAATCTACTTCTCCTGGTGAAGATGCTGTGAACATTGTCAAGATGACAACAAAGGATTTAGAATATTACATAACTTAGTTGATAAAGCAGCGTCAGGGTTTGAGAGGACTGACTCCAATTTTTAAAGAAATTCCACTGCGAATAAAATGCTATCTAACAGCATAGCATGCTACAGAGAAAGCTTTCATGAAAGGAAGAGTCAATCAATACTGCAAAATTCATAGCTGTCTTATTTTAAGAAATTGCCACAGCACCTCAACCTCCAGCAACCATCACTGTGATCAACCAGTAGCCATCAACATGGAGGCAAGACCCTTCACCAGCAAAAAATTACAGCTTGCTGAAGACTCATAACTGTTAGCATTTTTCAACAATAAAGTATTTTAAAATTTTTTAGACATAATGCTACTTTACACTTAATAGACTACAGCGTAATGTAAACATAGCTTTTATATGCACTGGGAACAAAAAATATTTTATCACTCGCTTTATTGCAGTGGTTTGGAACCAAAATTGCATTATCTCAGAGGTATGCTTGTACTTTGGATAAAGAAAAATCCTCTTATATAGACCCCAGTGTTTTAGTGCTCAAGAGTAAATAAATTAGAGTAGTCCTATGTAGAATTTGAATCCAGATCTCACTCTTGTACTTGAGTTAATCCATGCAGTCTTAGAAGCAGCATTTCCATCTCTCACCATGACCTGCCAATTTTACCCCTAAATTTCTCTCAAGCCCATCCTTTTTCCCTCAACTCCACCGTCATCACCCTAGCCCAAGCTACCATCCTCTCTTGTCTGGATACTGCAATAATCTCCTAACTGTCTTATCAATTGCACTCCTTCCTTCCTACAGCTAGTTTTCTGTAAGACAGCCAAAATGTAATATTTAGGAAAAAATCAGATCATATAACTGTGAGGGTGACCAATCCCTTGGTTTGCCTGGGGCTGTTCCAATTTTAGCACTGAAAGTCTCACATCCCTCAGTCCTAGGCAAACTGGGATGGTTGGGCACCCCAGGATTCTGCTCAAAACCTGCCAGCACCTTCCAGTCATCCTTGGAATAAAACCCTTTATGATGGTCTGTGAGGCCCCATAGAGTGTATCTCTTGCCTACCTCTCCAGCTCATCTCAGACTAGGATCCCCTTGGACTCACCACTGTGGGTGCACTGGTTTTATCTTAATTTTGAGAATTCATTGTGATCTTTTTCACCACATGGCCTTTGCCCTTCATTTCCCTTCAGAGGATGTACTTTCTGCCTCTCTTAGTTAACTCAGGTTCATCCTTCACATCCCAGCTTAATTGCAATTCACTACATTAGGTTCCTCTAGTACAAGCTCTCAGAATATTCTGTTCCTTTCCCTCAGGTCACGTGCCTCAGTTTGTCATTCTATAATTTTCCATTAGTAGTTTTATGTCTGACTCCCATACCAGCCTGTAAACTCTTTGAGTGTAAGAACCATGTGTGTTTTGTTTATCACTGTGGATTTGACTCCTAGAATGTGCCTGGCACATATAAAAAGGGGTTCAATAAATATCCACTTCAGTTCCACTGCTAATGTCACAGGTCAGACTTGAGATTTCTGAAGCATTTCCCTGCCTCTAATCTATTCACCTTCCAAATCATAATACCCATTAGTGTCATGGTAATCTTATAGATGTGGATGCCCTGTATATTTCCACAGATATCACTGTGTCCCATACTGGTCTGCTGATCTGCCCTTGTATATAATTAGAAAAGGTACATTTATTAAGAGTATACTATGCACCAGCACTGTGCTAAATACTTTATAAATTTAATATAATTTGCACCTCACAATCACCCTTGAGGGACATTCTTCCTATTTTACATGCGAGGAGACAAAGGCTTAAAGAGATTAGGTAACTAATCCATTACCACATAGAGTTTGTAAGAGATGCAACCAGAATGGTACCTGATGCATAAACCCTTGCATTTTTGTCTTTCAATTGCATGTTTTATTAGTTATAATTAGGCTTGGCTGTACATGACAAGAAAGTCCAAAGTACAATAGTGGCTTAAGTGGGATAGAAAATTACCTCTCTCTCATGGTTTTCCTCTGGTCTCTCCTGTTAAAGAGACCAGAGGAAAGCAGTTCAGGATTAGGATGACCTGATCATCAGGGATCCACACACGTGTTGTTTGCTCTCCCTAGCTTGACTTCCACCTTCAGGTCCAAAATGGCTACCTGGGCTCCAGTTTCCTCATCCCTATTTAGTTAACAGGAAAAAGGAAGATGTGTCCCTCATCCTCTAAGGATACCCTAGAGAAGTCACAGCTGACACTTCTGTTTATATTTCATTGGCCAGATTATAATCATATGATCAGATCTTACTGCAAAAGATGCTGAGAAATACAGTCCATGCTTTTGTTGTCCATAGGCTGAGCTTAAAAAAAAAATCCTCCTATAAGGAAGAAAGAAAGAATGGACATTAGGGGAAATAACAGCATCTGCCAAACACACGCTAGAGCAGGTTCTACTTATGACTTTCAAAATTATCTACAATTTAGTTTCATCCTACATAATGTTCTAGTTTTCCACCTCTCAGTCATTTTAAACCATTGCCACAATGGGCCACTCACCTCTCTGTTTCCCAGACATATCAAACTCATTTTCTATTTTACTCTCCTTGCTTTTTCTCCTACTTGGGAGGGCTTCCTGTCAACCTACATAAATTCTACCCACACTTTACTGATTAGCTCATTTTAGAGGAGGTTATCCTCTAAAAGTTTCCTCTATGTTAGCTTTCTGTCCCCCAAATAGAATGGAAAAAGCAAAGTTGTGGGTACATAGCAAGCACCTAATAAATACTTACTGATTAATATATAAAATAGCCTTACTTAACTCCTTTAATTCTTATGTGGAACACTGCTTTATTCAGGATTTTTCAGTGTTAGTTTACACCAGGGGACTTGTGTAGTCCCTCTCCCCTTCTCTTGTGAAAATACAGGCACCTAATGAATATTTATTAAGTACATGTTTGATTTTATTTTATTGTTTTTGGAGACAGGTTCTCCCTCTGTTGCCCAGGCTGAACTGCAGTGGTGCAATCATGGCTCACCGCAACCTCAAACTCCTAGGCTCAAACACTTCTCCTGCTTCAGCCTCCCCAGTATCTGGGACTACGGGTGCATGTCACCATGCTGAGCTAATTTTTTGTAGAGACAGGATTTCGCTATGTTGCTCAGGCTGTTCTCAAACTCTTGGCCTCTCAAAGTGCTGGGATTACAGGTGGGAGCCATCACACTCCACCATTAAGTACATGTTGAAAGCCCCCATTGTTCCAGGTTATCCACTTAGAGCTCTCACTTGGTTTCAATTTCTGAATCGATGTGGTGGTATTTGCTATATTGTAGGGCACTACTTCTCAAACTTTATATGCATACAGATCACCTAGGAATCTTATTAAAATGCAGATTCTGATTCAGGAGATCCAGGGTGGAGCCTGAGATTCTGTATTTCTAAAATATCCTAGGTGGGGCTGGGTGCAGTGGCTCATGCCTGTAATCCCAGCACTTTGAGAGGCCAAGGCAGGAAGATCGCTTGAGGCCAGGAGTTTGAGATCAGTTTGGGCAAAACCCTGCCTCTACCAAAAAAACAAAAAACAAAAAACAAAAAACAACAACAACAAAAAACATGCAATTAGCCACGCATGGTAGTGTGTGTGTCTGTTGTCCCAGATACTTGGGAGGCTGAGGTGGGAGGATCACCTGAGCCCAGGAGGCAGAGGTTGCAGTAAGCTGAGATCACACCACTGTACTCCAGTACACCACTGGATAACAGAGTGAAACCCTGTCTCAATAAATAAATAAACTTAAATATAAATAAATAAAAAATAAATAAAATAAAATATCCAAGGTGATGCCAATGTTGGCAGATGTAAATAGCAAGGCTGTGGAGATCCTCAGATTATCTGCCCCAGATCACATGAAGATGCATTTTAAAGCAAAAGATCCCTGGATCTCACTTCAGACCTATGGGATCAGAATCTCTGAGATGGGACCCCAGAATCTGCATTTTAGCAAACTCTCTAGTAGATCTTCATATACACTAATATCTGAGTTTAAAAAGAACCCTAGATGATTTTTATGATTAGGCCTGTTTATGAGTAGGCAGCTTTTCGAAATAATGCCATTCAGTTCAGCATAACATGGAGTAACTGAAACTACCAAAACTTAAGAAACTGAACAATGTATTAATATAACTTGAATGGTTCTAAGTTTTTTTAAATCCCATACTTTAAGCTGCAGCATTTTAGCATCACTCTTTTGCCCATAGCTTTGTTTGATTCATAGCACTTAGAGCAGGAGAACCTCCCCCGCCCCACTTTGGGATTTCTCATGGCTGTAGGCTTCCCAGCAGCTGGTTCCAAATTAATTCAGATCTCTACTTCAGCTTATGCTTTGAAGATAAAATTTAAGAGAAACAAAAGGTTTGAAATTGTGTTTCATAAAATATTTCTTGAAGACATTTCAAGAGAAAATCACTTGTAAAGAAATTCTTTCCTTAACCTTATTCTTATTTCTTTTAACCAATAAGTACCTGCTTACTTAAGGGAGTTATTGATAGCATCTAACAAGATTGTGTGTGTGTGTGTGTGTGTGTGTGTGTGTGTGTGTGTGTGTGTGTGTGTGTAAGAACTTTGTCAACTGAAAAGCACTGGAGAAATGCAAGGTGGCATGACTTTCATTACAACAGAGTATTAGCCAATAGGCTTAGCCCCAAAATGATAAATTAATCTTAAACATACAGTTGGAGTAGGAACAGAGAGAAAAGTTCTGCTCAAATCCCTTACGATTTAAGCCGATGTGATGAGAAGCATGGAAAGAGCCAAGCTATACGACAGAAGGCTTGGATAAGAGGGGGAAATTTAACCCAGGTAAGGACAACTAATATGGTTTAGAGGAAACATTAAACACCACTATCAACCCTGAATGTCTTGTTAATCTCTGATACATCAGATCATCAGGGAATAGGTAGAGCAGATCAAAACGTGGGGAGGGAGGGGAGCAGGGAGGCTGGATCTCTGTAACCTAAGGGACTGTATGGGGACCCAGGAGTCAGGAGACCACACGTAGGGCCACCAACCATTTGCCAGGACTGAGGAATTTCCTGGGATGCGGGACTTTCAATAGTAAAACTATGGGTAAAGTCCTGGGTAAGCCAGGATGAGCTGGTCACCTCGATACCATGCCAACTTGATTTCTGGTCTACTCTATGATGAACAAGCTGCATAAGTTCTCCACAACTTATTTTCCCCGTTCATAAGTGGAATTACTCTGTGTTCCTTTCCTTCCTTCTTTCCTTCTTTATTTCTTTCTTTTTTTTGAGAGAGAGATTTGAGAGAAGAGTCTCGCTCTGTCACCCAGGCTGGAGTGCAGTAGCATGATCTTGGCTCACTGCAACCTCCACCTCCCAGGTTCAAGCAGTTCTCATGCCTCAGTCTTCTGAGTATCTGGGATTACAGGCATGTGCCACCACAGCTGGCTAATTTTTGTATTTTTAGTAGAGATGGGGTTTACCATGTTGCCCAGGCTGATTTCGAACTCCTGGACTCAAGTGATTTGCCCACCTCAGCCTCTCAAAGTGCTGGGATTACAGGCGTGAGCCACCACATCCCGCCCTGTCTTCCTTTTCTACAAAAAAGAAAAAAAAATTCCTTTCTCTTGTCAAATACCACTAAATTACACCACCCCAACACTAGAACAAAGATGTTCCAATTATTTTTTTTTTTAACTTGTTGGGGGCCGGGTGCGGTGGCTCACGCCTGTAATCCCAGCACTTTGGGAGGCTGAGGTGGGTGGATCACGAGGTCAGGAGATCAAGACCATCCTGGCTAACAGGGTGAAACCCCGTCTCTACTAAAAATACAAAAAAATTAGCCAGGCATAGTGGCGGACGCCTGTAGTCCCAGCTACTCAGGAGGCTGAGGCAGGAGAATGGCGTGAACCCAGGAGGCAGAGCTTGCAGTGAGCCAAGATTGCGCCACTGCACTCCAGCCTGGGTGAAAGAGCAAGACTCTGCCTCAAAAAAAAAAAAAAAAAAAAAAAAAAAAAAAAATATATATATATATATATATATATATATATATTTGTGGGGAAATTCAGAAACTTAGGTACTTAGGAGATAAAAGTTTCCAGAAGTTAGGGGCTTGCTGTCAATGATAGGACTTGAAGTTACAACATGAAAGAAAGCTTGAGATGTGAGATTCAGTGGTCTCCTGGAGATGCAGGTGAGGACAGAGGAACAGGGTAGAAATCAGGGCAAATAGCTTAATCTCCCCATTTGTACAACGTGGGTAACAATACGGTCCTTTTAAAGTCATTGTGGGTTAGGTGCGGTGGCTCATGCCTGTAATCCCAGAACTTTGGGAGGCTGAGGCAGGTGGATCTCCTGAGTTCAGGTGTTCAAGTCCAGCCTGGGCAACATGGCAAAACCCTGTCTCTACAAAAAATACAAAAAAATTAGCTGGCCGTGGTGGCATGCATCTGTAGTCCCAGCTACTTGGGAGGCTGAAGTGGGAGGATTGCTTGAGACTGGGAGGTGGAGGTTGCAGTGAGCCGGAGATCAGGCCACGGCACTCCAGTATGGGAGACAGAGCGAGATCCTGTCTCAAAAAAAAAAAAAAAGTCATCGTGAAGATTAAATGAATTAATGTATGTAAAGCACCAAGAACATGGCCTGGATTGTTGAAAGTGATCAATAAGTGCCAGTGATTATTATTATTTTAACGTAATATTTTGAATCTTATGTTATGAAAATGCAAGTTTAAATCTGAACTATGTCTTTTTTTTTGAATTTGCTTTTTTTTGGCATTTTAAAATTCTATTCTAAATGTTAGGATTCTTTTTTTTTTTTTAATACTTTAAGTTTTAGGGTACATGTGCACAACGTGCAGGTTTGTTACATATGTATACATATGCCATGTTGCTGTGCTGCACCCATTAACTCATCATTTAGCATTAGGTATATCTCCTAATGCTATCCCTCCCCGCTCCCCCCACCCCACAACAGTCCCCAGTGTGTGATGTTCCCCTTCTTGTGTCCATGTGTTCTCATTGTTCAATTCCCACCTATGAGTGAGTGAACTATGTCTTATTCATAGGTGTACTATGTGATTTTATAGGTTCTGTGAGTAGAAGAACTTGCCAAAATATCCTTCTCCAAAACATCTTACAAATATACTCATCCATTACAATACCTGATAATCTGCCAGCAGAAATACATTAAGGCTTTGGGGGTTTTAGTTTCTGTATAAAATACTAATGCTTTAGGAAGAGAGTTCTCTCTTCCATTTTTTAGCCATAAGCCCCTTGTCATGGATTAGCTGACCACACCAGGAAGGGGAGATAAGGATTGAGCCAAGGAAACATAACATTGGACAGGTGAGAAAGAAGGTTCTAGCTTAGAGTATTATCTGTTTGGGGAGCAGGGGGAGGCCTCATGTGGAGTCTTCAGGGCCCTTTGGAAACTAGGGATAATTTTAGCCTTAAGAAGGGAAAAGAGAAGCTAGCCGAACAGGAGAGGAGCATGGAGGAGACACAATTGTTTACTTTATAGTATTGTTTAGGGTCAATCATGTTAATAAAAAGAATTGCTGAAATGGCTGAGAGTTGCAGTCAAGTCTGGAGGATTTTTTTTTTCTTTGAGACAGAGTCTTGCTCTGTCGCCCAGGCTAAAGTACAGTGGCATGATCTAGGCTTACTGCAACCTCTGTCTCCCAGGTTCAAGCAATTCTCGTGCCTCAACCTCCCGAGTAGCTGGGATTACAGGCGGGTGCCATAACGCTCGGCTAATTTTTGTATTTTTAGTAGAGGCAGGTTTTCGTCATGTTGGCCAGGCTGGTCTCAAACTCCTGACCTCAAGTGATCTGCCTGACTCAGCCTCCCAACGTGTTGGGATTACAGGTGTGAGCCACCACACTCAGCCAAGTGTGGATGATTTGGCTCACCCTATCTGAAAAATTTTAAGGTTATAAGCCCTGGAGCATTTTATATAAAATAATTATTGACATGAATATAGAAGAGAACATCCATATATATTTCCATTTTTTGTTTGAAGTTAAAGCTGACAACAGTCAGAATGCATGACTCTTTTGGGCTGCTGATTTCAAGCCTGCAACTGTTTCCTAGCAATGTAGGGGGCCTGTGCCAAGTCATTGAAGGTTATTGCTGGTAGGGTTTCTCCCTAGACAGGAAATAGTTCACTGGAGCTTTAGTGCAGAAACCAACACAGGTAGGTAAAATGTTTTTATAATTGCCACTAGGAAAAAGAGAGGGCCCAGGGGGTACTCTTCTGCCCAAGGGAACCTCTCCCTGGTTATAACCTAATTTGTTGTGTGTATGTGGACTAGATGGGTGGAATTCAACCTTCTAAGGTATTGTGGTTATATTGCTTTCAAATGACTGGCGATTCCAAGAAATGTAAGAAATCCTCTTTCTTTTTCAAAGGACCATTCTCTTGTGGTTCAAATGTGGGCTTTTGAAACAGAAACAATAATGTCTGTGGCTATAGGGTGGGGTCTGTTCATTTCCCTCTTTTCTCTATTGGAGTGTACATGAAGGTGTTGAAATTGTTGGCTTCATGTTTGTGTTTTGATAAAGATGGCTCTAAGGTAGCAGGATAGGGGACTAGAAGCTAACTAGTCATTGAAGAAGATCCTTGTTTTCCACAGAACAGTCTACCCTGGAGAACTGGCTGTTCCAATCTTCCTGTTACAGTCATTCAGAGCATTCATACATCTCTCTGTCCATGGTGCAATAAAATAGGCTATGGAACAATCTCAGGAGGCTTCCTAAGTGGTTGAAAGGAGGCAGGGCAAAAAAATTGTAGTATAGGCAAGAGGAAGGTAAAACTAACTAAAACGAACTTCGAAATGCAAGAAATAAACACAAGCATCATCTGAAATTGTTCCCTTAAGAAGTCAGCCCTAACAGTTTCTTATCTATTATAGCAGCTGAATTATCTTGAAACTGATATTGTGGTCAGAAAGTTAAGAAGATAACCCCTCTCCTACACTCTTGGCACAAAACCAGGGCATATCTATACCTGGAACATAATGTGTTGTACTGTTGGTTGAGTTTCAAGAAAAGTCCAATGAGGTTGGAAGCAGTTAATATGAGGATATCTGAAAAGATCAAGGAGATTAGGTATTCCCTACTCCTTCCATAAGGAGGTACTGAAATGGCAGAATTCTGCAATGAGAGATGGTGATCAGCAAGCCGAGGGGACAGGCCTCAGAAGAAACCAGACCTCCCCACACTTTGATCTCTGATCTTGGCCTTCAGAACTTCGAGAAAATAAGTTTCTGTTGTTTAAGCCACCCAGTTTGCAGTATTTTGTTATGGCAGCTCTAGCTGACTAACACACATGAGAACACATATGATCAAATGATTTAAAATTATGAAGGGTCTAGAAGAGAATGTGATCATCTCAGAATACCTCTAAGTCAGGGTTTCTTAAAGCAAGGTCTGCATACTACTTGCATCAGAATCACCTATGACGCTTTTTAAAAAGCAGGTTCTCAGGTCCACTGGACCTAGATTATTAAAATGTTCTGGTATGATGCTGAAGAATCTGTCTCTTTGGTAGACACTTCAAGTGTTGTTTTTGTACACTAAAGAGCCAGAGGTCCTGCCCAACCTCTGGCTCTTTTCTGAGCCTGAAAATGAATTCTGGGCCTGGTACTAATTGCATTTCATCAAGTGCTGCTGTGTCTGGTCCTCTGGCAGATGGTCCCTGATCCAGGAATCACGTGTAAATCCCATTGTAGGTTATCTCTCTCCAGGTGTCAGCCAACGTTTACGCAGCATGTGGGAAAGCTGAATTGCATGGACCAGATGGAATCCTTAGAGTTTATTCTTGATTGTGGAAATAAATATGTACCTCACCTATCTTACTGAAGAATATAATGACATATTTTGAATAATAAAGTATATATATTATCTCTCTCATGAGATTTATTTAAAGATCTTACTACCTTGTCAATAAAGAGAGAATGCAAGGAATAGAATGGGGCATATCTTTCCTTCACCTGTGGACCTAAGAGGAACTGAAATTAGAGAAAGTTGAGAGTCCAGAGCAAACGCTGTGATGAACATTTTCAAAATAGGCAGAATAGGTGGCATTCTGATTCAAATATGGCAGTTCCCTAGGGAGTGTGAAATCTGCCCTGCCCCATCCCCTCCATTTACAAATGTGCTTAAGGGACATAAGGTTTTATAAACAGGATTTTTAAAAACTAAAATTTAGGCAGATCATTTAAGAATGCTCAAGGGGGTAGGTCAATGGACTATTTCTCTATTTTCCTTCAGGTGGTCCAGCCTTTGAACCAGAATGCAGCTATAGTATCCCAAGTGACGGGGTCTGTCTAGGAGTTCCCATGGCCACTGTTTTTTGTCTTTTCGGTTTTTCTTTTTATGGCGGGCGGGGGAGGGCGGGCGGGTGAGTACTTACTTAATGCCAGGCACTTGGTTGTTTTTTCCTTCTTGACTAACCAGATTTCAGTTTCTCTGTGTAGACCATTCATTCCCACTGAGTTTCTTGGTGGGGTGGTGGGGGCGGGGGCGATGAATGGGAAAGTGGAATTGCCATTAATGTTCCAGCTGCTTTCCTGAAACAAGACTTTTGACCGTAAAAAGAATGAATTTGAAACTCTAGACAATAATACACTGCAGAGGTTAAGAAGAAAAGCCATGAGTGCAACCGGGTTTCATTAAGAATGAAAAGTGGACATTTAGCCGTCAAGGAGACAGGTTCCTAGTTTGGGCAGAGAAGAGAGCCCTAACAATGAAAGGCGGCCGTGTTGGCTGAAAGGGGGCTCTCAACTGAAACCAAGGCACTCCTGGGGTGTGAGGATGGGTGTTCATTCCTAGATCTTTCCGAGCGGCCCTTTCCCTCAGTATGTTCTGGACTCACTGAGGTCCTGGCCGAGCGTCCAGGTAGCCCCGAGGGCCCCGACTCGCTGGCGCAGGGGTAGGGGGAGCGGGCCAGGCGGGGCAAGCGGGCCAGGCAGCGGCGGCGGCGCTTTCATTAGAGGGCGCTGTGGGAGCGGCTCCGCCGCAGTCCCGACTCCCGCCGCTTCCTCCCGCCGCCCCTCCCCGCCAGTCCGGGCGAACGCGGCCGGGCCCTTGGGGACCGAGTCTCGGCGCCGCCGGGGAACGGGCGCGGGCCGCGCCACAGCCGGAGCGGGGCAGGGCCCCGCCACCGCCTTCTTCCGCCGGCCCCGCCGCCGGCCATGCATTCTTCCGGCTCCTCTGACTCCCAAAGCCCCGGCTGGGGCCCGGCCAGCCCGAGGTAACCTCCGGCTCCGCGGTCGCAGGCCCCAGAGCGGCAGCGGAGCCGGGCCAGGGGAGGCGCTGGGGGCGGGGAAGGGGGTGTCGTCGTCGCGTGGCCCGGGGAGGCGGCAGCGGCCTGAGGGACGAGGGCGCGGTAGGCCCCGGGGAGGAGGCGGGGGCGCGGGGCATCCGCCCGCCTCCCCGGGACCCGCCCGGGTGACAGGTCCGGCCTCTGAGTCCCCGCCGTCCCTCTGTCCGCAGGCAGCCGCGAGGGGAGTAGGGCGCCAGCGCGCCCGCTCGCGCAGCGCCTCGGGCCGCTTGGGCCGCCACCGCGTCCATGACCGCGACCCCTCGGCGGGGGACACCCGCCCCCGCTCTCCGCAGCCGCCCGCCGTCCGCGCCCGCCGAGGTGAGCCCGGCGCGCGGGCCGCGCCCGCCGCCACGACCCTTCCACATCCGCGGAAACCGCTGCAGGCTCCACCGGCTCCCCGCGCTGCGGTCGCCTCTTCTCTGCCCCTTTCATCATCCCCTGCTTCCTTGCCCTCTGGTCGGAAATCTCATTCTCTTCATCCCCAGTTCCTTGGCTTTTACCTCTTTCTGGCTTTTGCTCCCTTCCCCCTACTCCTGTCCTTCCTCTTTTTCGCATTATAACCCCCTACTTTCTTCCTCTCACCTTGTAAGCTTTTTTTCTAGGCCCCCCATTTTTTTTCTTAAAAAAAAAAGGGAAACAAAAACCCTATTGCTACAAATGAGAATTTTGAGGGTAACTCTTCGCTAGAGCCAGAGACCTTTTAAAGGAATGCATCGGTGTGCAGGAATCGTGGTGGTGAGGAGACTGAGGTCCTCAGTATCTGGGAAATCTTATTGAGGGGACCCTGTTTCGGTCATGTCACTTGTGTCTTCAGTTTGGAGATCCTGAGGTTGTCTGAAGCGAGTGGATCTATTTTTCTAAGTCCAATAGACGACCGCAGTGAGACACGGTGCGGGGACGGCCACCGATTACTGAATGGGAATTGTGTTATCATTTGCTAAATATATTGTGACATACTTCGTGCCTCGGTGAACAGCTCCCTTGACCTTGTGCGGCTCCTCCTCCCTCGCTCTCTGTCCCCCTCTGGAATTTCCCCTGAGAGATCACCGAGGTACTACACCCGGAAAGCTTCGACCCTCGCTGTTTTATTTTGTGCTGGGGGCGATTTCTATGTTGGTGACTGTTTAGATGTATTTAATGAATTTTCCTTTTTAAGTGAATTTTTCTTTCACCCCAGAAAGACAGGACGGAGTCCAGTGTGAGAATGGCTATAACTTTGGAAGAAGCTCCGTGGCTGGGCTGGCTCTTGGTGAAAGCACTGATGAGGTTTGCCTTCATGGTCGTCAACAACCTGGTTGCTATTCCATCCTACATCTGCTATGTAATTATACTTCAGCCCCTTCGAGTGCTGGACAGTAAGCGGTTCTGGTATATCGAAGGAATCATGTATAAATGGCTTTTAGGAATGGTAGCTTCCTGGGGATGGTATGCTGGATATACAGGTAAGAGTGAGAACACTTTTCTTTAATGCATAAGAAAAAATTTGTCAGGAACCATGATTAAATGTATATTACACTTTGGGTTGAGGATGCTTTCATGTCTTCACTATTGAAAAAAATAAAAAGAAAACAGTTCTATTGGGTTTCTCTTCAGAATCTCAGGAAGACCAATGTTTTCAGAAGTATAATTTCATAATTATGTATTGGTAAATTTCTTAGTGTTTTTATTGTGATTGACATACATTTATTAAAACTGGTCTGCAAAAGCTCTGGTAGAGGAATAGGAGTGCGTTGTATAGGACTCGAGAGCTTATAAAGTGAAGATGTAAGATATTTCATCTATTTCATGGAAGATGCCCATAAACATTGGAAATTTAGAAAAAGAATGGGACCATATTTGTGCTAAGATAGTTTAATAAGTTTCTTCATCATTTAACGTGATATTGTACTGTTAGCCTTTTGAGCAAGCAAAAATGGCTTTCTTTTCTCTTACGTATGTTTCTTTTGTTTATTAGAATCTATATTTTATCTCATAAATCTGAGAGTATTAAATATAAAAAATTAAGTTAACTTTGTTAAGCTAATTTATCTTCTGAGTGTCTTTAAATAGATTGTGATTTCTGCCTTTAAATTGCATTTGGGGAAGCAAGAGTAACACTATTCAGAAGTGGACTTTTATAGAACTAAATGAGAAGTGTTTATTTTCTGAGATAAACCTTATATGCTTTGAGAACTTATGCCCTTGCTGTGAAAATTCTGTATCGTTTATTGTATTTATTTGATTTTTTTCCCTTAAGAATTAAGATAATGAAAAAATCATAGAGGTTTTTAGCACTTGTCAGATGTGGAGGCTTTTAGCACAGAAATTCCTACCTGATAGGCAGGCTCCTTGAAGATCATGCAGATGCTGTGGTCAGTAGAGGCTGTAGTTCATAGCTTGGCAGAGTGAGGAGGGGTACTCCCAGGGTCAAGCAGTATGGCAGTTCTCCATCTGAAATTCTGTCTCCCTCTTTCCTGCCTAGGCTGCACCTGCACATTTTATCCACACACGCAAGAGAAGGACTGATAGTATACAGCTTTTATGGAGTCTGACAGACCCTTGCTATGTCTGAGTATTCTCAGTTGCCCCAGATGAAGCCTTTTCTCCTTCAGGCAGTGGCATTTATTTATTTATTTCTCCTTCAGGCAGTGGCATAATAATGCAAGAGCTGAAGCCCCTGGGATAGTGTATGCGTTGCTTCCTTGTCATCTGTCTTGTTGAGATTCCAATGCTTTTTGGATATAGTAGGTGTGCTTCTAGCCCTTTTTTAGGACTTGGTGGTAGCAATAGCAGTGGTAGAGAAAAAACGAAGTTCTAATCTATGGTGCTGAATTCTTACCTGAATTGCACTGCTGTCTTAGAGTTGCTTGGCTTGGTATAGTTTGAGTGTTCCCAAATATATGTTATATGGTACTAGTGGCTTTATTCTTGTATAGTATACTTAAGTTTGCTTGTTTTAAATTAGCTTATAGTATTTTCAGAAACCCGTTCTAGAAGTTCATTCTGCTTAAAATGAAATTACTGAAATGTTTGTGCGTGTGTATAGTGTATTTAATTGTTAGCATGGTGGGAAGGTAAAATTAATTTGGCATTGACCTTGAGATTGGGAGTGCAGTGGTGCTGCTTGAAGTCAAAGTTAGTTGTCCTATGGCCATAGCATAGCTGCAATGTATTTTTCAGCATATTTTCTTGGGGTATCTCTTCCTTGCTGACTATAGAACTGTGTAATTTCTTTTGCCACCTGCTTGGAATGTGGTCTTGGCATGATCTGCATATTTTAGTCTCTCTGAAGCATCTGCTCTTCTTCAGGCTACTGAATTTTGACAATTTGATCAGTTTGTCTCATTTAAATATAGACTGTTTTAATGTATATATTTTAAAAGGTTTTCCTATAGGTAGAATACTTGATTTCAGAGAGCCTGGTCATAGTCTGATCATAAAAGAAAATAGTCAAGAAGTCAAACAAATGTAGGAATGAATTTGGTTGAAAGCCTCAGCTGAGTTTAAAGAAGCACATCTAAGCAGAGGTTGATGAACAGGTGTACCCATAAAATAATGTCAGGTGTTATATTAGCCTTTCTTTAGATAATATATTTCACTTCTTCCCTTTACATCAATAGGAGGGTGGGCTTGTGAAGAAGTTCTTTTTTCCCTATGCCCAAGTTTCACAGATGGAAAATTGAACATTGCCAAAGGAATTCTGCTCAGCAGATTAAGTATGTTCATGTTTTAGAATAAAAATTGCCAAAACTTTGTTGAGAAACCACTTATGAGGAAACCTTAAATACTAATTAGGAAGCTAAAAATTGAATATTGGTATATTGGTATAGAATGAATATATATATATATATATATCTTTTTCCAAATTATGACATTCCGTGTAATATGAGTGAATTACTCAGCTCTGCTGATGAGGACTTATGTTGATTATCTAACCTACACAGCCCCATATAGTAGCCACTGGCTGCATGTCACTGTTTAAATTTAAATTAATTAAAATGAAATAAAATTTAGCATTTAGCTCCTCAGGCACACCAACCACATTTCAAGTGCTCAGTACTAGGTGGCTAGTGGCTACTGTATGGACAGTGCAGATACAGAACACTTCTATCATCACAGCAAGTACTACTGGACAAAGCTGATATAGTAAGCATGGTTTTCTTTTCTTAGGAAAACTAAATTTTATTTTTATTAAAAAATCTTTCCTTAGTTCTAAACAGATTTTTTTTGTGAAAGACAAGAAGATTTATTAAAGTTTTATTAAACTATCTCTTAACTCATCACAAAAATGAGCCCTGTAAATTCATACATGCTTCTTGGATGAGTAATGGTGAGGCCAGTAAGCCCAAGAACTTAAATGAACATTCTTATACTTTAGTTTGCATTCTCAGAGCTGGGGAACTGTCTGTAGGCACAGAAGATGGAAAAGGGATTTTCTGGTCTGTTTCTGACTTTAAGTTACACATTTTAAAAAGTACTCTGAAGACACTGGGGTTTGTTCATCCCCGGCTTGCTACTAAAGTAGTAATGATTGTTGTTTTCACATTTTCCTTTTTTTTTTTGAGATGGAGTCTTGCTCTGTTGCCCAGGCCAGAGTGCAATGGTGTAGTCTCAGCTCACTGCAACCTCCGCCTCCCGAGTTCAAGCGATTCTCCTGCCTCAGCCTCCTGAGTAGCTGGGACTACAGGCGTGTGCCACCACACCCAGCTAATTTTTGTATTTTTAGTAGAGATGGGGGTTTCACTATGTTGGCCAGGCTGGTCTCAAACTCCTGACCTTGTGATCCGCCCACGTTGGCCTCCCAGAGTGCTGGGATTATAGGCGTGAGCCATCGCCCCTGGCCTGTTTTCACATTTTCTTTAGTAGGAAGTGCTGTACAGATATCTCACGTTGAGGAAATGCTTTATATTGCCTTTGTCTTAATATTTCAAGGGCAAACCAAAAGAGATACTAGCTTAACTAATGATCCACTTCTGCATGCTTTATTTGGATCTAGGATAAATCAGTACCCCACCCCCCGGAGTTTAAGTGATGATTGGTAAATGTCAGAGAAAGATTTCATACCAAACAAAATGTATTCTATTTATTTAAAATAGTTTATTTTTATTTTCATTTACTTATTTTAATAAAGGAATTGTCATCCAAACACATTTAATTAAAGTCTTAGCCAGGTACAGTGGCTTATGCCTGTAATCTTAACAACTTGGGAAGCCAAGGTGGGAGAATCACATGAGCCCAGGAGTTCGAGGTTACAGTGAGCTGTGATCATGCCACTGCACTCCAATCTGGGCGACAGAGACCTGTCTCAAAAAAAAAAAAAAAAAAAAAAAAAAGAAGACTGTGCATGAAATACTTTAAAAATATTTACTGTTAATAGAAACTCCAGAATTTTTATTTTTATATAGGGTGAGAGAGAGTCATGGGCCAAAGTCTGGCTGGAAGGGAGCTGAAATGCCAGGGGACTTGCTGCCAAGCTGTTTTTACGTAGCAAACAGTTTTCCTTAAATTGGGGCATTATTTGGGGGGGGCTTTAGGGAAAGCTGATGGAGATTACGTTTAGTTACCTCCTGCTCCCCAACTGACAGCTGCCCTGTCTTTCTGGGTTATGTGATTATTTGATAGTGTCCTGCTTTTCGGGGAGGGATACATATTCATTGTGTGACAAAAAGTAATTTTTAGGAATTATTTCTGACTTTGAAATTCTACGGAAAGTTTCAAAAATGTATTTCGAGAGCAATGTCTTGTAACCTTTGAGCCGTAAAACCAATTTAGTATGTGAAGATGAACATTTTAAGAATGTGAAATAAAATAGAATTCAATAGAATATATCAGAAATGCATGTGTTTATACTGAGTGGTGCTTCAGAATGTATTTTTTACTATAAGTGCAGTCAACATTTGAGAGGCATTGTTCTAGTGGAAAGAGCACTGGGATTTTGGAAAACTCTGGGAGTCAGTGGTCTAGCTTTAACTTTAAATCTGTTATCACTGGTAGGGGTGAGATCCTTACCTACTCTGGGCCCACTTGATGGATCTTCCTTATAACCCTAGGGTCTGATTTGTTACCTGATGCTCACAGAGTACTCAGTAAGTGTCTAGTTCTTGAATGATCCTTTTTTATTTTTTTGTGAGACAGTCTCACTCTATTGCCCAGCCTGGAGTACAGTGGCACAGTCTTGGCTCACGACAACCTCTCTCTCTCAGGTTCAAGTGATTCTCATGTGTCAGCCTCCCGAGTAGCTGGGATTACAGGTATCCACCACCGTGCCCGGCTAATTTTGTATTGTTAGTAGAGACAAGGTTTCACCATGTTGGCCAGGCTGGTCTTGAACTCCTGACCTCAAGTGATCCGCCCACCTTGGCTCCCACAGTGCTGGGATTACAGGCGTGGTGAGCCACTGCACTGGGCTGAATGTTCTCTTTTTCCTTTCCTGGTTCTGAGATTCCCTAGCTGCCTACCTTCCTGAAAGGTCTATTATCAAGGTCATTGCAGTCCACAAAATATGAAACCTTGAATCACATCATGTTTAATATATATAATCTCTTAAAATACCACATTTGTTAATTTTTTTTTTTTTTTTGAGAGACAGATTCTCACTCTGTTGCCCAGGCTAGAGTGTGGTGGCTAGATCTTAGCTCACTGCAGCCTTGAACTCCTGGACTCAAAAGCGATTCTCCTGCCTCAGCCTTTCAAGTAGCTGTGACACTAAGTGTGCATCACTGTGCCTTTTTAATTTAAAAAAAGTTTTTGTAGGGATGAGATCTTGCTGTTGCCCAGGCTGGTTTTGAACTCCTGGTTTCAAGGGCTCCTCCTTCCTTGACCTCTGAAAATGCTGGGATTATAGGAATGAGCCACCATGCCTGGCCACATTTACTAATTTAACACACCTTTATTGAACTTCAGTTATCTGTGGGAACAGGTACCCTGGAGGTACCTGATAGGCACAAGACGTAATCAGTGACTTTAAGGAGCTCACAGCAGCCTTGGTGGGGAGACTGCACCAACAATGAAAATATACAGGGGTACAAGGGGAGGTAAAAGGAGGGGCTCCTGATCTAGCATCAGTGGTAGGTGGTGACAGGGAGGGAATAGGGGACTTAGGGAGAGGCTTTGAAGGAATTTGAATTCCTTTGAATTCTTAATAATTATAATTCATTTAAGAGATGGAATATGTATATTTGTGGTGATTATATTAGCTAAGATTTATTGAAAAATAAACCAGGCAGTGACCAAAGTGCTTCGGTCACTTAATGATCGCAATAATTTTATCAGGGTGGTACTGTTATCACTTCTCCTTTTGTTATAGATGTTGAAATTGAAAGAGGTTTCACAGTTACTTCCCCAGAAGCATTAACTGGATTGATGTTGCCACAAGTTGATTTTTGTATTTGAAGAGCCAATTTTGACCTTTAGATAATGTTCCTAGAGTGTTTCTTAATTTTTACTACCCATATGCCCTTTTGCTTTTGAGGCATGGAATCTCTTTCTGAAGATGCAACTCTTTAACATCTGAAAGTAATATAGCTATAGATTTCTTCAAGAGGTTAAAAACTTGGTGCTTCAATGGAAATGTTGTAGTATAATGGACATTTCATAAAATCTAACTTCCTTAAGGCTCTCTACTCATGTGGAGAACAAAAACTCCACTGGAATTTCTGGTTTTGGGTGCTTGAAAGTAGATTGTCATCAGAGTGAGGAGTTACTGCATGATGTTAGGTTGACAACTGATTTTTTTTTTTTTTTTGAGATGAAGTCTTGCTCTGTCACCCAGGCTGGAGTGCAATGGCACGATCTTGGCCCACTGCAACGTCCGCCTCTTGGGTTCAAGTGATTCTCCTGTCTCAGCCTCCCGAGTAGCTGGGATTACAGGCATGTACCACCATGCCTGGCTAATTTTTTGTATGTTTAGTAGAGATGGGGTTTCACCATGTTTGCCAGGCTGGTCTCGAACTCCTGACCTCAAGTGATCCACCTGCCTCAGCCTCCCAAAGTGCTCAGATTACAGGTGTGAGTCACTGCGCCTGGCCGACGACTGATCTTGACGTAAATCCAGGAGAAGAGTTTTCAGTAGTGTTTTGATTTTTCTATGGAAAATATATCATGAAAGGAAATATTTTTGTTCTTCTCCATCCCTGTGGTAGGTAATTAAAGGTAAATATTACTAAATGCTTTAAACTCAGCAATTTGGTGGTACTACAAATTTGATGTCCTTATTTCAAAGATAGTTTATAATTGAATAATTTATTTTAGATACTTATTTTGAAATATATATATAATCATGCATGCACACACCTTCACATAGACTATTACAGAAGCTCAGGGGGCAGTATTTGTAGTGTTTGTAGTAAGACCTCAAGTTCTGGAGTCAGAAAGAGCTGGGTAAAATAGTTTTTGGTTTATTTTTGTTTACATTTGCATGGCATATCTTTGCCAATCCTTTTGTTTTCAAACTCCAATTTTTATAATTTGCTTTGATTTAGATGTGTCTCTAGTATACAGCATGGAGTTAGGTTTTGCTTTGTGAGTGAATTTGAAAATCTCTGTTAATATGAGTTGAATCCATATTTATATTTATTCATATGTCAAAAATTTGTCATGGTTCTGCCATTGTATTTTATGTTTTCTATTTATATATACATATGAATGTTAAGTCTTTCACTGTGTAGTATCTTTTTCTTTGCTTTTCAGTTCTGATATTTAGGAAGGTTTGTATTTCAGTCTTATTACTTTAATATTCTTAGTTCTCTATTGATAGTAACCATTCATTCTCTTCTATGACCAAAGGTAAAACTCTTTTTAATCCTTGTGTCTTCCCCTTTCTCTTCTTCCTCACCCAATCTTAGTCAGTAATATTTATTTAAAATAGCGTATACATCTGTGCTATTATGTATGCTTATGCTTCTACTACTTGAGCTTTAAGACTATACATTGACTCCCAGCTATTACATCAAGGTAATCAGTAAGCTTATTATACTTCTCTCTGCTTTCTCCCTTCTTTCAATTTATGTTATTTGAGTTTATACAGTGTTATAGCCTATAATATTTACATTCTATTTTATCAGCTTCATTTCCATCTGTTTTTGTCTTAATTCTTTAGTTAAATGTAATGTTCACCCAGGTACTTTGTGCAGAGTCATTCTTTGGTTGGCTGAAGTTTATCCTCTAGTAGTTTCTCAATAAGGGCTCAGGGGAACAAGATGAGGATATTATTCTTACAACATTTTCAGAATTTGTCTTTTGTTGCTTTATACGTTTTTTGTTTTTTTGAGATGGAGTCTCACTCTGTTTCCCAGGCTGGAGTGCAGTGGTGCGTTCTCAGCTCACTGCAACCTCCGCCTCCTGGGTTCAAGCAATTGTCCTGCCTCAGCCTCCCAATTAGCTGGGATTACAGGCATGCACCACCACACCCAGCTAATTTTTGTATTTTTAGTAGAGATGGAGTTTTGCCATGTTGCCTCACACTTTCTTTTTTTTGAGTATCTTACAGGTATTATACAAATGTCTTCTGATATTAAATGTTATATGAAGCCAGATTGAATTTTTTCCTATTATTGACTTGGTCTTTTTGCCT